>NC_000012.12:41399521-41551037 GCF_000001405.40 Homo sapiens
GTCTGGAGTTCGAGACCAGCCTGGGCAACATGGTGAAACCCCATCTCTACTAAAAATACCAAAAATTAGCTAGGCATGGTGGTGGGTGCCTATAATGCCAGCTACCTGGGAGGCTGAGGCAGGAGAATTGGTTGAACCCAGGGGGCAGAGGTTGTAGTGAGTGAAGATTGTGCCATTGCACTCCAGCCTGGGCAACAAGAGTGAAACTTTGTCTCAAAAAAAAAAAAAAGTATTTCAACCTATAGCGGTATGTTAATATTGACATTAACACAAGGGAAAAAAATTCCCCCTTATATTTCTTCCTTAATTGTTCAATGGGTTTTTCGTTTTTAGGGTAGAATCCAATCACTTCTGTTTATGCAGAAGCTTCTTCTCTCTTGGCCTGATAAAGGAGGCTCCACACATTCTGCAAAGGGCACAGTAAAAAGGGGGCTGGGGGGATGGGGAAGAGAGAGAGAACGTTATGGCCCTCTGTACCGGCTTCATATGTAAAATGTTGATCTCTTTTAAACTTGGGCTATTGTGCAACTTTTCAAAAGGGATATTGCAGCAGCCTTCAGTTATGAAGCAGTCATCAGATAACTCAGGTGCTGGTTGCAAGAATATGAGAGCAATACACAATACATCTCTTTGTTTCTTTATCCATGGAATCTGCAGTTTTCTAGCAGCTTTTTCTCCCTGTTGTGCATTTAACTGAAATCTGACAGAAACCACGGATGAATTTTGTAATAGACACTATTGGTACTTAAATCCTGGAAAGGCATTTTGGATAGGCTAATATCAGCAAAATTTTAGTGGGTAGTCAGGGAATGATATAGAAATCATATAATTGGGCTCCATGTGAAATAGTCCACTAATATTCTTCTGATGGGGCTTCAGATTCATCTAAATCTGAATAATTTGTGTTAAGTGATTTGCAACACTTTCGAGGCACCATCAAGGGTGCATTTTGGGCAGAAGGCATACTTTAGAAATTAGGACCTCATGGGTTTGGGTTTTTTTTCTTCTCATATGAAAATATACTACATATGTTCTGTTTTGTTCTGGGACTATCACAAAGCCCTAAAATGTTTACAGCTTTCAGCTAGAGGGAGAAATATGGAGTGAGTGGGGGGATGTAGTCAGGGGAAGACAACTCCATAAAACTGCCCTAGTGCATCATTCAGGTCTTTCTTACAGTAGAATCTAAACTAGCCCTCAATGAAAAATAATTTCATTAAGACTTATCCTATAAAAGTGCCTTTAGGAACAGATGTTGCTTTACAAGTCATGTAAAACATCTTTTTATAAAAATGTTCAAGTAGCTAACTTCATTCCAGGGAAATATAGCCAACTTGGCCAAAATTAGCCCTCCTTTGCTTTCCCTGCATTTATATCCTTTGCATTTTTGAGGTAGGCCTGAATCCTGACTGTTATTTGGCTTTGGATTGTATTGTTAAAATTCTGGATTTTATGATGTAGTTGGCATTCTCATTCATTTCATGTTGAAGCATTTTAAAAATTCTTTCTCATTACTTAAATGTTTACCTTTCAAAGAGGTGACTAATCATAATGTACCTGGTATATAGCAAAAATCCACTTACAGACAATTGAAATTTTCTGTGTAAATGTTACAAGTTTTGCCTAATAATTTATTCCCTTAATCTGCTTGCTAAGTAAGTTAAAAATACCCACGAAGATACAAATTGTCACCAACTTAACATTTTGCATGCCCATAGCCGAATGAATAAATTGTACCATTTCCCTCATTCAGGAAACAATGAATGTCTACTGAGAACTAAGCTATTTAAAACTGAAAGTTTCTCTCCAGTAGCTCATAAAAGTAACATCAATTTCTCTAACATATCTAATAAGCATGTTTCAGTTTTCTTTTAAAGTTGCACTTACATTGTGCTGTATACTAAATTTAATAGTTTACTATGAATGTGTAATTTATAAAATGCTCTCTTCACTTGCATTTACTATCCATTAATTATCGAGTCAGCAACCTCAGAATCTTCCTCAGTTTCTTCCTCGCTTGCCTCAACCTTTTTCACCGATCCAGACTGTTACCTTCATAGGGCTTCTTGAATCCATCTCTTCTTTGCCATTCTAGTCTTCACTTTTGTGCAAATGCTTCCATACTTTATCTACCTTGTTATAATACGTTTCCTGTTGGTTGTTCAGTCTAGCCTCTCTGGTATTGGCAGAATCTTTCCTTTCCAACATAAACACAGCAACATTATCTGCAAGATGAAGTCCAAATTCCGTAGAATGTCACAAAAAGACTATAATCTGTCCCCAGTCTCCATCTTTAATCTCCTAGAGTTCTCCCCAGACCGTGCCAAAACAGCCAAAAATGATTCCCCCTCTTCGTTGTGTGAAGCATTAAATTCCTCAGGGCCTTGTACATTCTGTGCCCCTCTCCTACAAGACTCCACCCTCATTTCTCTCTCTTCATGTAAAAGATTCTGTTTATCCCTTGAGGTCAGCATAAAAGCACCCTATGGATGTGGCGCTCCCTCACCACACTTGTAACTTCTTCCCACTCCTCCCACCCCTGGAGCAGGAAAAGAAAAAAAAAAAGAAATATATATATATATATACACACTGAGTATATATATATATATATATATATATACACACACTGAGTATATATATATATATACACACTGAGTATATATATATATACACACACACTGAGTATACATATATATACACACACACTGAGTATACATATATATATACACACACTGAGTATATATATATATATACACACTGTGTATATATATATATATACACACAGTGTGTATATATATATACACACACTGTGTGTATATATATATATACACACAGTGTGTATATATATATATACACACACTGTGTATATATATATATACACACAGTGTGTATATATATATATACACACACAGTGTATATATATATATATACACACTCTGTGTGTATATATATATATACACACAGGGTGTATATATATATATATATACGCTGTGTGTATATATATATATATACTGAGTGTATACATATATATATATATACTGAGTATATATATATATATATATATATATACTGAGTATATACATATATATATATATATACTGAGTATATATATATATATATATATATATACTGAGTATATACATATATATATATATATATACTGAGTATATACATATATATACTCTCTTCAAAAGTCAGAATCACCAGTGATTTTTACTTATGATTGATTAGAGGTAAAAAAAAGTTATTTTCTGTTTTGTATAAGAAAACAATCCAAAAGAAACAAATAAAAAACTAAGCTATTTGAGGGCAGCGTCAGCGTCTTATGTCTTATTTGTCCACACAGCACCTGGCACAGTGTTTTGTGTGTAACGTGAGCTAAATTGCAAAGAGAAGCTAATATCGTGGTATCAAATTTAGGGAATTGATATATTTCATGATAACTTAGATCTCACTGTTGGGTGACTCATCGCTTAATAATTCAAGCCAGATTTGTAATTGTTCCTGTTTCTAGAAGTCTAAAAAGGGAAGCCATAATAACTTTTAAAAATTCAGAATTAATGGAGTGTCTTCCTCCTGCTCATTCATTTGAATTAAACCCAGCTTCATAGCAATAGGCAGCATATTACCATCCAGCGATGTGATGAGAACTTGTGATTCCCCCCACACATTTAATACTGAGCCCCAGGGGCTAGGAAACCTCGGGGTGAAAGTTTGGGAAAATATCTGCTCTTTTTCGTTTGGCTGGTTTTTTTGCCCTGATTTTCATGTCTACCCTCTCGTATCATAACTTCAATTGTAAAACATAGCTGTGAGCTGGAAAGACCATTTGTAACAGTAGAATTAGAAAAATGAATTTTGAAACCTCTTTTGCTCCCCCAAATACATGGTGAATATAAGCTATTTCCATCGGGAACGTGAGAGATGGGGAAGGAAATATTTCGGCTGTTTTGAAAAAGTGTTCCAGGTAAATCACATATGCCCCTCACTCCAAGGTTTTGGATCCTAAGAGTTACAGAATATTCTCTTTATATGTTAAGCCAATAAATGTACTAGAAATACGCAGTTGGTTCTTGTGGGGGTTGGGATGACAGGAAAGAGTAAGCATATTTCAGTCCTCACTGAAAAGTTTGGCTTTACATTTCAATTAGAACAATCATGAGATTGTTTTTCTGACAATAAGTGAGAGAGAATCTTTACTAGAGTCTCCTGAAATGTTAGGTAAATTTTATTCAATACTAGCACACAATTTATTCATTCAAAATATTTGTTAATTACTTTTTAGTACCAGGCATATGAAATGCAATTCTAAAAATCACAAAAAAATGCAATACCAAACAAAATATAAACCCAATAAATGGATAAGTAGAAAGATAATTTGCAGTAAGCCATATGTGATAAGAAGGGAGTACAGTTGTCCCTTGGTATCTATTGGGGTGTTGGCTGCAGGAACCCTCAGGGATACCAAAACGTGCTGATGCTGAAGTTCTTTATATAAAATGGCATAGTATTTGCATAAAACCAATGCACATCCTCCTACATAGTTTAAACCATCTCTAGAATACTTATAATACCTAATACAATGTAAATGATATATACATAGTTGTTATGCTGTATCATTTTTATTTAAATTATTTTTAATTTTTGTATTGTTATTTTTTCAAATATTTTCGATCTGCGGTTGGTTGAATCCACAGATGCAAAACCCATGGATTCGGAAGACCAACTGTAAACATGGCCATAGAAATGCGAGTAGCATGGCATCTATGAGAGAGTGTGAAAGAAATTCCAAAGCCATTGGAGCACAGAGATAAAAGTTCCCAGAGAGTTATACATCAATAACGTCCAGGTTGAGAGTCAATTCAAAAACACAATCTCCTTTACAATAGCCACAAAGGAAATGAAATGCCTAAGAATACAGCTAACCAAGGAGGTGAAAGCCCTATACAAGGAAAACTACAAAACACTGCTGAACGAAATCAGAGATGACACAAGTAAATGGAAAAACATTCCACACTCTTGGATTAGAGGAATCACTATTATTAAAATGGCCATACTGCCCAGAGCCATTTACAGATCCAATGTACTTCCTATCAAACTACCAATATCATTCTTCACAGAACTGGAAAAAAAAACTATTCTAAAATTCATACCGAACTGAAAAAGAGCATGAATAGCAATTCTAAGCTGGAGGCATCACACTACCCAATTTCAAGCTATACTAAAAAAAAAAAGAGCATAGTACTGTTACAAAATCAGACACATAGACAAATGGAACAGAACAGAAAACTTAGAAATGAAGTCATACGCTTACATCTAATCTTCAACAAGACCAAAAAAACAAGCAATGGGGAAAGGACTCCCTATTCGACAAATGATGCTGGGATAACTGGCTAGTCATTTGAAGAAGGATGAAACTGTACCCTTACTTTTTACCATATACAAAAAGTAATTAAAGATTTAAATGTAATACCCCAAACTATAAAAATCCTAGAAGAAAACCTAGGAAACACCCTTCTCAACATTGGACTTGACAAATAATTTTTGGCTAAGTCCCCAAAAGCAATTGCAAAAAAAATAAGAATTGACAAGTGGGACCTAGTAACTAAAGAGCTTCTGCACAACAAGCTATCAGTAAACAGACAACCTACAGAATGGAAGAAAATATTCACAAACTATGCATCCAACAAAAGTCTAATAACCAGAATCGATAATGAACTTAATTCAACAAGCAAAAAAACAACCATATTAAAAAATGGGCAAAGGACATGAACAGACACTTCTCAAAAGAAGACATACAAACAGCCAACAAACATATGAAAAAATGCTTGTCATCACTAATTATCAGAGAAATGCAAATCAAAACCACAATGAGATGCCATCTCACTCCAGTCAGAATGGTTATTATTAAAAAGTCATAAAGCAACAGATGCTGGCAAGGCTGCAGAGAAAACGAAATGCTTACACACTACTGGTATGAATGTAAATCAGTTCAGCCACTGGGGAAAGCAGTTAAGAGATTTCTCAAAGAACTGAAAACAGAGCTACCATTTGACCCAGAAATTTCATTACTGGGTATATACCCAAAGGAAAATAGATCATTATGCCAAAAAGACACATGCGCTCATGTATTTATTGCCATGCTATTCACAAGAGCAAAGACATGTAATCAACCTAAATGCGGATCAGTACTGAATTGGATAAAGAAAATGTGGTACCTATACACCATGGAATACTACACAGCCATAAAGAAGAATGAAATCATGTCCTTCACAGCAACATGGGTAGAGCTGGAGGCCATAGTCCTTAGCAAATTAATGCAGAAACAGAAAACCAAATACCACATGTTCTCACTTATAACTGGGAACTAAACATTGAACACATGTGAACATAAATGTTGGAACAATAGACACTGCAGAATACTACAGCAGGGTGGGGGGCAGGGGAAACATGGGTTGAAAAACTACCTGTTGAGTACTATGCTCACTACCTGGGTGTAATATACTCATGTAACAGACCAGCACATGTACCCTCTGTATCCAAAATAAATAAATACATATTTAAAACTAAAAAAAACCAAAATATTTCAATAATAAAAAACATTAAATGTATCCAAAATTTAACCTAATTTCTGCTTTTTTTTGAGTGATGATTCTGCCTAAAGACTAAAATACAAGTACTAGATAAGTCTAACAAGTAACAATATTAAAGCTCTTTAATTTCCACAGTGTTTACTAAGAGCAATGTTATATTTAGTGAGAAGAAAAGAAAATGAGGAAATGACACATTTAGTTGAAAAATAAAACAGTTTGGTTGAAAACGAAACAAAAAAATGTATAAAAGAAAAAATCAACGCCTACTGTTGTCAGGAGGATGGCTCCTTACGTCATTACCAAGCTACTGTGATGTCCTCAATTTGTTGTTCTGATGTGAAATTACTGTTTTACAGTCATTCGGGACAACTCATCTTGATCAATCCAACTTATGACTTCTCATTATCAATCTGTTGAATGTGAACCCCAAATTGAGGAAGAGACCTATCAACTAGAGAAATTACCCTTAAAAATGCATTGCTTAAAAAGACAATTCAGGCCCGGCACGGTGGCTCACGCCTGTAATCCCAGCACTTTGGGAGGCCGAGGCGGGCAGATCACCTGAGGTCAGAAATTCGAGACCAGCCAGACCAACATAGCAAAACCTCAACTCTACTACTGTAATCCCAGCTTCTCGGGAGGCTGAGGCAGGAGAATCGTTTGAACCTGGGAGGCGGAGATTGCAGTGAGCCAAAATCGTGCCATTGCCCTCCAGCCTGGGCAACAAGAGTGAAACTCCGTCTCAAAAAAAAAAAAAAAAAAAAAAGACAATTCTAATTTGAAAATGTTATTTCCCATGTGTGTGTGGCACCAACAAAAGAAAGAGAAAAATGCAATCCCAACCCATGTTCATAGTTTGAATATTGCACTGACAAGAAATGCTACAACCTTTAGGTGTTCAAGAAATGCCTGATTGATGAGCATTGTTCCTCCTAATGAGCTGTGTGTTATGATAAAGAACTTATAGTCCCCATGGACCTTATGCTCTCAGAACTATTCATTTATTTTCTGTGAATTAACACTGCCTTTATTAATAGTACAAGGTTCAGCCCTTGGCAAAGTCCTCATCCACTTGGGGATAATACTGACCTATAATATCTCACCGTCATTTTAGGCTAGTACTTTGGATAATGGAGTGGACTTAGCTAGCAAGAAAACCCTTCCTTTCTTTATAAGAAGGCTTCTAAGTTCTGTGTTTTAACATGAGCCTGTAGTAAGCAGAGAGCTATTTGATGCTGAATTCTGAGCAAAGGGTTCTTTGTGGGAAGGTCTGTCAAACAGCATAGTTACCATGGCAACCCTGGCTGGATAACCCATTTGGGAAAATACTTGTAGGACCTAACACTCTATCATCTGTCATTCAATAATTTCATGTTCATAATAACTAGGAAATCAATGGCGATCCTCTGAGACAGTTTGTGGAAAGGGCAAGCATGCTATTGGCAGCTCACAGCTTACATTTGCGTCTATTTGTTGTGATTCTCGTGCCAGCTTAGGAGTGTGAGAAAAAACTTGTTTGTTTGGACTGGCACAAAGATTAAAGGCAGGTTCAGTTTTGCAATCTAATTACAACTGCAGTGTTTACATGTACAAAAGAGAAAAAAAAAAAACAAATGGCATATTAATCAAGCATTTGCTAGACTGTTAAGAAGTAAGGTTCACCTAATATTAACATTTCACATTTTTAAATTCTGCGAGAAAAGATGAGTCCAAGTTATCACGCAACTGGCATGAACAAATTTGGTAACGTAAAAGGCATTTTTCTTATCTAAGCTTTCTAATTAAACTGCTTATCATCGTAGAAGCTGTGTTACCTGGATGTTATGTACAGAATATAAAGTGATCATAGAAAAGTAATTAAAATTCTTAAACATGCAGCCCGTTGACTTAACATACAATTAGTTTTTAGAGTGTGATGTTTGATAATAAGGCGAGTTAGCTGAGTAGAGAAATATACACTTAATAATTACCTTGACAGTGTTTATCAACTAGAAAAAAATGTCAGAAATAATTTCAGGAAATGGATATTACAAATAAGAAAGCATGTTAAACTAAGACCAAGAAAGTGAGTAGGAGAGAAAAATTAAGCATTTTGTATTCTATAAAGAAAGGAATATTTCACCTTCGTGGAAACATTTAGAAGATACTGATTCATGCATTATGAAAAGCTTATTGTTTTTAATTTAGAAGTGTTCTGAAACAGAACGATAAAGATGTTTGTAAATTGCTTTCCTTTTAGCACAACAGGTTTTTATTTTAAGCTGCTCTGGGTAAAGTACACATAGTGGAGCTCCCTTTCTGCAAGTTTCCAGAGTCCAAGTTTTCTCAAAGTGGAAGTGTGGGGGAGCTGATTAAAACATCATCATTTTCAACATAAGAGATGAAGTCTTCTGAAGTGAAAATGGTATTTTATTCAAAGGAGGAATAGTTCCCTAAAGAGCTATGCTGAATATGAGCACAGAAGATGGAAAGATTATATGGCTTCTCTTACAACTGGAGGTCTGCTGAAGACTTTGGAAATCGGAATTTTATATATTTTTCCAAAAAACAATATGATGTTCTTGTAAAATTTTCAAAGATCTGGTTGAATAAATGAAGAAACTATTTTTCTATTTTTCTTCTTCCTTTCTCCTTCCTAAACATTTCTCTCTCTCTCTCTCTCTCTGTCTTCTCTCTCTCTCTCTGTCTCTGTCTCTCTTGCGCTCTCTCTCTCACTCTCTCGCACTCTCTTGCTCTCTTTCTCCCCCTTTTTCTTTCTCCTTATTACTCTTGGGGCCAGAAGATGTTCATTTTTATTATTAATGCTTGCTTGAATGAAAAATGAAAACTTCTGTTCTTTTCCTTTAAAAACATCTACACATTTTCCAACCTACTCAGATATGTAAGTAGAATCCAAGTGGTATCATAGGCAAAACTATTACTGTTATGGAATGCATTTTAAAAGAGGAGATTGATTATATTTCTAAATGTAACAATAGAGATAAGAACTATGATAAGAGTTGAAGATGATAAAATGTCTCTTTAAAGTCATATTAATATAACCTGTAAATAAAGGGAATTTATCATACTTTTAGAAAACAAAAATACCTCTTATTTTAAATACCTCTTATTTCTAGATTTTTTAAGGGTTAACATCTATGCTATTTTATTATTCCTTCATTTATTCACTTGGGACATATAGTTATTGAGTCTTGACCAGATCCCCAGGCACTCTGGTAGGTGCAAAATTCCCAAAAAAAAAGAAAACAAGGTATCTATCCTCAAGTTCTTCCCAGTCCTTTGGGGAAAAAGATAAGTAGACAGAGGGATTCATAGGGTGTTACAGGAGCATTGAGGAGAAATATTTCATGTGTCATTCTTAGATGCATTTATTCCTTTACTATAGAACTTACTGATATGAGGTAATTTCTGACCGATTTTTTCTTTTGGGCATAAGTTATTTAACACTTTATAAATGAAGATTCAGAAATACCAACGTATGAAAGTCTTCTTTGTATTCTCAATAAGATCCAGATATTTAAATATATATTTTTCAATATTCTCAATGAAACTTAGAGAAAACTAGTATTAGCATGTGCATTAATTTCTTAGGGCTGTCTCTGGGTGGCTTAAAACAACAGAAATTCACCTCATCGCTTTGAAGGTCAGCCAACTGAAATCAATGTGTCAGATGTCATGTTCTCTGAAGCCTCTAGGGAGGAACTTCTCCTGCTTCTTCGAGCTTCTGGTAGCCCCAGGTATTCCTTAGCTTGGAGCAGCATGACTACAGATTTTGTTTCCATCTCCATATTAGAATTCTCTCTGAGTCTGTGTCTTCACAGGGCTATCTTCTTATATGGACACCAGTCCTATTGGATCAGAAACCAGTATGACCTCATCTTGACTAATTACATCTGCAATAACCCTGTTTTCAAAGAAGATCACATTCTGAGGCACTGGAGGTTAGGACTTCAACATATTTTTTGGAGGGACATAATTCAACCCATACCAGCATATACACCTCTATTTCAACATTTTATCTTTTTGAGAAAATGAAACATTTTAAAAATGTGAACAATAGCATATATGATTTCTCCCAGAATAATTTCTAACACGATTTTTCATGTTCTGTTTGGCATGGTCATGTCTCGCCTTCTTTAGTGTATTTGCTTAGAAATCATAAGCAATAAATATTTCCTAAAAGCTTTCATATTCTCATATGCTGGGAAATACACATACTCACAGATACATACATACATACGTACACGTAAAATAATTACAACGGTAAAGATGAATATTCTGAAACTTGTGCATAAGTCTGCCTTTAAATATAAGCTGCAACTAAGACTTCCTTATCATAGGCAATGCTATAATTAACATATCTACTGTGCAACCATTTTACTATTGAGCCTTCTGATATTGTTTTGGGCCAGGCTGAAGTGAAATGCTAAAATATTATATTATATTCACAGTTTAGATGGTGCAGTCTTTTCTTTAGCATTTAGAATCCAAAGTATATTTTGTTGGGTACCCCATCCAGGAGGAAGAATGCTGCATTGAAAAGAATGATTTAATTGGGAATCCCACTCTGGCTTAATGGCTCTAACTGTTAAACCTGTCTCAGCCTTAATTTCCTCATCTTTAAAAGTGAAAGGGCTGTTGTCAGGATGAAATTACATAACATGACGAAATGCCTTTTCTCACCGTTGGGTGCAGAGATACCTGAGAAAGAGTTACTCAAATCTGCTTAGGAATTTGTAGCAAGTGAAGCGTAGGTTTTGGGGGATATTTTCTATTTTGAGACAGAGTTTTACTGTGTCACTCAGGCTGGATGGAGTACAGTGGTGTGATCAAGGCTGACTGCAGCCCATACCTCCAAGGTTCAACCAATCCTCCCATCTCAGGCTCCCGAATAGCTAGGACCACAGGCACGTGCCACCACACTGAGCTTTAAAATATATATATATATATATATTTTTTTTTTATTTGTAAAGATAGTGTCCCACTATGTTGTCCAGACTGGTCTCAAACTCCTGGGCTTAAGCAGTCCTCCTGCCTCAGCCTCCCAAAGTGCTAGGATTATAGGCATGAGCCACCGTGCCCAGCCTAGCATAAGTTTTACAACCTAATGCCTAGAAGGTTAGAACAAATAAAACCACTGTTACCCCCAGATATAAGTACAGCTCTCCTATTTGTAGTACTAGTCTTCATTTCTAGCCCCACTTCCTTCATCTTTCCATTTAAGAAAGGAAAAGTGAAAAGGAAGGAGAAAGATGGCAGTCCCATGTGCCACCTTAGAGACACACCACCTCCCCTTAGGTTTCTCTGCTTTAGTCATGGGTTAGATTAGTACAACTTGCACCTGTGAGTGAGAACTGTCATTGATCAGACTGACTTCTCTCACCAGCTGAAAGACAAAAAATTCAATTGATTCAGAGTTCCTTGTTTATTGGGCACTCATCAACAAAAGCACAGATATTGCATCCTGAGTTTGACTTTTTAGCACGCCAGAGAACTTGGAGGATAAGCAAATTCTGGCTTATTTGATCCTACCGTGTTATTGCTTTTCTGGGGACTGCTTAATTGAAGCAAGAATGCTATTTCAAGTAAAATACATCAAAAGGCATTTCATTTAAACCTAGTTAATTCTTTACAAGGCCCTGTAGTAAACAAAATAGAGCAGCTATATTCTTCACTCTTCACTTTCTTCTGCTATTAATTTCAGTTCTCAATGTGATCAGCAACTTTTTCTTCCAGGTAGTTATAGCTAAGAAGAACTCTTCTTGTTGACAGAGGGAGATAAAGAAGTTGAGAAGAAAGGTTAGAGAAGAGGGCCAAGTCTGGTCTAGTCAAGTCAAATCAGGTCTACTCCGGTGTCTGCTATACATTTATATATGATCTTAGTTAAGGCAAGGTATATGTCTAGGGCAGTTTCCTTACTTGTAAAATAAACAGATTGCATTACATAAACTTCAATTAATATTTTTAGAGTAAGGGTCCACTCATTGAAACTCTGATAATTCCCGTAGATTTTTCCCACCTATCTGGATATATGTTAAGTACAATTTTATATGTAATGTAGCAGTCGTAGACCCCCTTGAACAATGTGCACAGACATACCTGGCTTCCTTTTCCAAGGTCACTTCATGGTCCAAATGACTGTTTCACATCCAGTCGTGTCTGTTTTATTTCTGTTGGAAAGACAGCACGAAGGAGAAAAGGGTGATGATGAAAAACTAGCAAAGGGCATGAGCGAGAAGTGATTTCAGGAAGGCTCCTGGGAATTGCCACATGACATTTTACTTACATCTCATTGGTCAGAAACTTGGCCATGGCTGATATATGGAGTCTTCATTTTGGGTAATCATGTGCCAGGTTAAAAGTTGGGAGTTCTCTTTCTTTGGAAGGAGAGACGGGTGATAACAGGTGACATTTATCAGTCTCTGTTGCAAAGATGTATAGATAAATACTCAGTAAACAAACAAAAAGGACGGTCAATATTAACTCCAGGGAAAACAAGACATTGTATAAGAAATGAAATATAATCAGAATGTTTCACATGATGTGGCTATGAATCATATATACATAGTTAAGATGATATAATTACTAAATATTGATTTAAATAAAAACTGCGATAGAACAATGAATACCAAATGCTGAAGGGGAAGTAAAATATCTAAATCCTCAATATCTATTTTATAATAGCCATAACTAGGCCAGGCATGGTGGCTCATGCCTGTAATCCCAGCACTTTGGGAGGCCGAGGTGGGCAGATCACTTGAGGTCAGGAGTTAGAGACCAGCCTTGACAACATGGTGAAACCCCATCTTTACTAAAAATACAAAAATTAGTCAGATGTGGTGGCATGTGCCTGTAATCCCAGCTACTCAGAAGGCTGAGGCACAAGAATTACTTAAACCTGGGAGGTGGAGGCTGCAGTGAGCCGAGATCATGCCACTGCACTCCAGCCTGGGCAACAGAGTGAGACTCCATCTGAAAAAAAAGAAAAGAATAGTCATAGCTAGATGTCCAACAATGGTGAATGGATAAGGAAAATGTGGTATACATACATAATGGGATGCTATTCAGCCATAAAAAAGAACAAAATCTTGTCATTCACAGCAACGTGGATAGAACTGGAAGACATGATATTGAGTGAAATAAGCCAGGAATAGAAAGTTAAAAATCATATGTTCTCACTCATATGTGGGAGCTAAAAGAATATTTTCATGCAATTAAAAAGTAAAACAGAAGGCACTAGAGGCTGGGAAGGACAGGGAGAAACAGGGGATAGGGAGGGATTTGTTAAAGTATATAAGAGATATAGCTAGATAAAAGGAATAAGTTCTAGTGTTCTATACCACTGTAAGATGACTATAGTTAATAATACTATACTATATAGTTTCAAATAGCTAGAAGGAGGATTGAATGTTCCCCATACAAAGAAATGATCAATGTTTAAGATGACGGACGTGCTAATTATCCTGATATGATCCCTATACATTATATGTGTTGCAGCACATATAATGTTTATTCATTGTGTACTGAATAAATATGTACAATTATTATTGTCAATTTAAATTTTTTAAATTAAAAATGAGTCTATGGGTGCCCTTATATGTGAGATGAGCCTTTGAAGACAGCAGATAGCTATGTCTTGTTTTTTTAATCCAACTTGCCACTCTCTGACTTTTAAGTGGGGTGTTAAGACCGTTTACATTCAAGGTTAATATTGATATATGAGGTTTTGATCCTACCATGAAGTTGTTAGTTGGTTGTTTCATAGTTTCTATTGTGTGGTTATTTTAAAGAATCTGTGGGCTATGTACTTAGGTGTGGTTTTGTAGTAGCAGGTATCATTCTTTCAACTCCATGTTTAGAACTCCCTTAAGATTCTCTTGTAAGACTGGTCTAGTGGTAATAATTTCCCTTAATGATTGCTTGTCTGAAAAAAAATTTATTTCTCCACTTACTCACTTAGTTTGGCAGGGTATGAAATTCTTGGTTAGAATTTCTTTTCTTTGAGAATGCTGAAAATAGGCCCCCAGTCTCTTCTGGCTTGTAGGGTTTCTGCTGAGAAGTCTGTTGTTAGCCTGACAGGGCTCCCTTTGCACATGACCTGACCTTTTTCTCTAGCTGCCTTTAAGATTTTTTTCTTTAGCATTAACCTTAGGCAGTCTGATGACTATATGCCTTGGTGATGCTCATTTTGTATAGTATTTGGAATGTGTTCTCTGGATTTCTTGCATCTGGATGTCTACTTCTCTAGCAAGATTAGGGAAATTTTCTTGAATTGGTTCCTCAAATATGTCTTCCAGGCTGTTTACTTTTTCTCTTTATTTCTCAAGAATGCCAATAATTTGTAAGTTTTGTTACTTTACATAATTACATAATCTCGTATTTCTCAGCAATTTTGTTCATTTTTAAAAATTATTTTCCCTTTATTTTTGTCTGAAAAAAATAAAAAGTATAAAAAGGAAAAGAAAGAAGGAAAACAAAGACGGATGTCTTCCAATAAATAATGTACAACCATCTTCAAATTAAAAAAATTATTAATATCTAAAACCTAAAAACTAAAAAGAGCTTACTTAGTGAAGCAGATAAGCATATATGAAATTTTTACAAAAATAATTAAAACTATGATAACTACCATGATGGAAAAATATAAAATGCTACAAAGATGTGTAGCAAACAAATAATATCATTTTGAGCCAGAGGAAAGGTGTCCCAGAAGTGTCATAGTAAAATGAGTAGGCATTTACAAGACAAAGAGAAGCGTTCTTTATTCACAGGGACTAGCAGAGCCAAAGGCCCTGAGATAGCAGAGTCAAGGGAAGAGCACATGTGAAGAACTGAATGAAAGCTGGTGACTGAAAATGAGCAGTATGAGCTCAGGCTGGAAAGAGAGGTTCTAATCATGCTGGACATTGCAAACAATGTTATGGATTCAGGTATTTGACCTTAAGACAGCCAGGAATTCAATACAGATTTAAAGCAGGGATGTAGTATGATCCTGTTTGTATATTAAAATATACCTCCATTGAGATGAGCCATAGAGAACTTGTGGAAAGTGTTGGAAGGGGGCAGGATATATGAGACCAGTTTTGTGCTGTTCGGTTAAGAGATGACACTAATTGCAGCCTAGTTGGATACAATAAAAAATGTAGACATATGGGTGGAATTGAAATATATTTAGGAGGAAAAGTCAATGGAAATTTATTATATATATGAAATAATATATATTACAAATATATGTGTAATATATAATATATGTAATAAATGTTATATATATATAACAAAGATATACATATCATTGTAATATTCAGTTACTGGTTCAGAATTTACTTTTTCCTCCTAGAGTATAGCAGTATATACTACCCATATATAAATAAAAATTGAATGAACAAACATCTTGGCCTATGAATAGGAAAATATTGACCCTGTCAAATTTCTAAAAGCTAACAATCTTTGTTGTAAAGCATCCAACATTTTGGTGAAATTCAGACTTTGGGGAAGTATTGTAGTTAAGTATAGAAATGTTTTTCTTCCGTATCTAAAGGAAGAAATTGGTTACCTTATGGTAGATAAAACATAATTATTTGGAAATGAGAAATTGTGTCCAGAAGGCATGCTTTGCCATAGCAACCTTAACATTGAGTTACAGTATGTCTTTCAGTTTTGCAAAGGGTAATTTATCATGGGAGGAATGTGCTGAATATGTCACATTTTACTATCTGCTTATTTAGTTAGATAATCAAGATCTTGACTCTTGAAATAGAATTATTCTAAGTTTTGTCTTATTTTCATGCTTGTGAATATAATATGTGTATACTTTACATTCATTTTAAATTTTAAATAGAATGAAACAGACTAAGTCTAGCTAGGACACACAGGACCTAGAAGCAAAACCATATTTCAGTTTTCTTCCATGACTTTACAACTGTGTGATTGATAGAGACCCAAATATTTCCTCTGAGATTGACAAATATTTTTCCCAAATCATGCCATTAAAATTTGAGGACATAAACATAGTGTAAATTGAAAAAGAGGATTTGAATTAAAATGTGAGCAAGTGTACAAAATTTATGTTCATATTTGTTCCTTTCTCTGTAGACATACATCCACTGTAGTTTAAAGTGTGGTAAGTAAATTTTTATTTTAGAGGTAACATTTTTCTTCTGTTGTAAATAAGAGAATCTTTTTCCTCTTTCTGAAAACAAAAAAATGGCGAAAGAAGGACTTTCTTTCTGATTAAAAACATTTGGTTTTGGCCAGGCACAGTGGCTCACACCTGTAATCCCAGCACTTTGGAAGGCTGAGGCCGGTGGATCACCTGAGGTCAGGAGTTTGAGACCAGCCTGGCCAACATGGTGAAACCCTGTCTCTACTAAAAATACAAAAAAAAATTAGCCAGCTGTGGGGGCAGTCACCTGTAATCCTATTCAGGAGGCTACTCGGGAGGCTGAGGCAGGAGAATAGCTTGAACCCAGGAGGCGGAGGTTGCAGTGAGCAGAGATCGCACCAATGCACTCCAGCCTGGGCAACAACAGCGAAACTCCATCTAAAGAAAAAAAGAAAATGGTCTTTTACTTTTCTCGACATTTATTTTTATATACAGCTAGAAATTTGGACAGATTTAGCCACAGGCGGTTGCTACAAGGAATGAATTGGTTTTCTTCCCTGGGTAGATGTTCTAGTTTTGTTCAAGTTGGTTCTGAAGTATGTGTAGGATTTGGTCTATTCTTAGATACTGCAGCAGGGTACTCCAGCTGAGTCCAAATATGTGTAAACTTTCCCCAGAACACTACCTTAATACTCCTTACTTAAAATCATCATATGCCTTTATGTTTAAATTTAGTGATAAAAGCATCTAAAGAATAGGTTCTTAAAGAAACTGGAATTTGACTTTCTGTATGATAGCCTTATTTTATGTTTGTAATACAACTAAAGAGGTAACCTCTGTTTATGGCTTTTAGATTTGGAATGTTCAGAAGAATTCCATAGCTTGGTCAGTTATGATTTCCTGATATTCTTACTCGGAAAGGAAATTGCCATATTTCCTCAAATCTAAAGAAACACATCTTTAGATATTTTTAACATTTTTGGAAATGTTTTTTAAAAGGCTTGTAATTCATACATGTCTTTAATGTCATAGTGTTTCCTTCCTCTCACCAAGCTGATATTAAATTGCCAGATGTTTTATAGGCAATGCCATCTTTGGCCAGAGAAAATTTGGTAAGTGCCATTGCTAGCACAAACTGAATAGCATTACCTAATTTCAAGGAGGACAATTGTCAAAATCATTGACAATGCTAATAGTTTAGGAGATTTATATGATGATGTTCTTCCTTAATTTAGCCACTATTTTAGTTTCACATTTCTCATTCAGTCATCCATCAGTACTTACTGAATTTCTGTTGTGTACCAGGCAGTATTCAAGACGCCAGGAACACAAAGATGATGCTTGTACTCCAAGATGTTGCAATACAGCAGGCCACTAAGGATGCAATGTCAGAACTCCTATTATAGCAATAATTACAAAGTAGTGAGAAAGTATAGAGAGGAGGCACTTGATTCTGCCTCAGAAAGAAGAGAAAAGCTCACAGAACTGGTAAACTTTGCATTCTCAGATAGGTGATGGTATTAAAGGTAGAGGAAATAATATGACCAGAAGTGCATGAGAATGTTGTAGAATGGCAAGACTATACAGTGTATGTTGGTTAAATAGAGAGAATTGAACTGTAAGGGAGAAGACACATTGTGTGGGTCTCAAGATTTCACCACACTTTCATATATATATAGACAAACAGTCTAACATGTTAACTCCCTTGATAGCCATGTAACACAAACTCCAATTCATTGTCTTATTGTTTATCCTTGCAACAAATAATCGTCTTTGCCTTACATATGCAACATACCACTTGTATAATTACAGGTTTGTATATTTTTATAAAAATACTGAACATTAAATGCAAAGTAGAATTTATGCAGTTCTAATAGGATTATTTTTCCTGCTTCTATGAGCATCTTTCTGCAGCAGATTATCATTTATTTGAATTTATAACTGACATTGACAAACAACAAAAGTATATTGATGTTGCATGTATTCACTTTTTAAAAATACTAACATGCTTTAAAATCTAAATTGAAAAACTTGGAAACATTGTTTTCATTCTACGGAACATTAATTGAAAGTAGAGTGTCATCCTAAATGAATCATTGTTATCAATTCTGCTGGTGCATTATCTGAAAAGCATAACTGGAAGAAATGTATTGTGATATACATTTTCAAACACTAACAAAGGCATTCCAGTTTACATCAAAACAAGGAAGTAATAGGAGGTAGTACCTACAGATACCAACCTTAAAAATGGCCCTAAAGTAGTTTTATTCCTAGTTTAAAAAGAAAATCTGAACTTAAAAAAAATGTGTGATCATGTTTTATGCAAATCTAAAAGCAAGCTTCATCTCTCTAAATAGTCATGACTTTGTCCTATTTTAAATGGTTAAATGGGAGAATCTGTGAGAGTCACTACATTTTGCCTGTGGCTACTTTTCTACCCTGAAATTTCAGAGTTTGTTGTTATGTAAAACAAAGCAATTTTCCTGCAGTCCTCCTTGGAGGAGAGCTCTGATGTATGAAGGAAGTGTTGATCTATTGCCATTTCCCTGAGCACATTCACCAGCAGCCAAGGGAAAAGGGTTTGGCTGGAGAAGAATCGTTG
Source organism: Homo sapiens (assembly GCF_000001405.40). Classification (NCBI taxonomy): domain Eukaryota; kingdom Metazoa; phylum Chordata; class Mammalia; order Primates; family Hominidae; genus Homo; species Homo sapiens. Next base: position 41,418,819 of record NC_000012.12, read on the forward strand.
GGTGACCAGCGTAGGGTGTAGGTGTCAGCTGGGGGGTAACTGCTGTCTCAGATCAGCATCTAGCTGACAACCCACAGCCTGAGAACTAGTCAAATGTGACAAATCTCCCCTTGCAATTTGATGGGATGCCCTGCTTGGCTTCTCGTAGCCAGAAGAAGAAAAGCAGATTTCAGATTAAGGCTATGTAACTCCATTCAGAGATAAAGTAGGATTTTCCTGTGCTAATTTGTATTATTTTCCACAGGAAATGAGAGTGAAAGAGAAATCCTTTGTTAAATGGACTTTAGCAATAACCCTGTATTAGGAGCCTTTCTTTTCTCCTGGGCTTCTTGTCTTGAATACCTGTTTCATATCTGGTGTTTTGGTTTTATGCCTGTTTAAAAAGTAGGATGGCTTCTGTGAGAGTCACCATAAAGCTGGTTGGACAACAAAGTCCTTGCTGCCAAATCATGTGCTGTAATCCTGTTAAGTACCTGTACAATAGTGTAACAGCTGGTGCAGGCTGCAGTTGGTGTGTTAGTGTGCTATGTTGAGACTTGGGATCCATGCAGACAATGAGCTGGGTCGGCTTAGAACAGACCCAAGTGCCCCTCAGACAGCTGGTCCAGTAACTATACACTAGCCAATCTTGGGAGAGAGACTCATCAAATAACATTAATTTTCTTCTCTACCAGACAGTAAGGTAACCAAAGCCAGGTTGGTTGTGGTGCCTTGGGATTTTTACCTAATGATCTTCTGGAAAGCAGATGCATTGGCAGGAATTGTAAGCTTCTGAAAACCCAACTAGTATTACAGAGTAAACCTTTCTCACCATGGGGGTTTTACAGGAGTGGGGTACATTAGTGTTAGATCATTATAAAGTATTTTGCTGACTACTGCAGAATTAATGGCATTTTTATGGCTCTCGGTTAATGACTGTCAAGAAATAAGAGTCTATATCGGTTCAAATTGTAATTTTAAATCAAACTAGCCAGCTGTCAGATGCATGCAGCACATGCAGACGCCTTATTGGTAATATTTGGTGCTTCCCTTACATCCATCAGGCTATAAGATCATTGCTTGGAACTGCAATTGTTTTGCATATGCTTGATGTAAATTTTATCACAACAAAAGCAAAGCAAGTTGTCACTTCTAAGAGGCAGTTTCCATGTCCTTGAAGGAAACATGATTTTCTTCAGCATTAGAGTAACTGAAATTTTTGCTATTTATTGAGTACTTGATTTATTTATTTTTTGTTTTAGTTTAAGCTCAAGAAAACTATAACCTCACTTCCTGCATTACTGAGTGCAAGGATATCTGAAGTGAGTTCATTCAAATCTCTGTTCTTCTCACACTGCTAAATTGTCCATATCTTTAGTCAGAATTGTCTTCTGCCTAAGAAAATAAAATCTTCCTTCAATCAGTACCTAAATATTGCCTTTACTGTGCCTTTCCTCCTATCCACTCTCACCTTTTCTAGATTTGTACTCTGTCTCCCTTCAGCATCTTCAGCCTCTTCTTTCTTGAACTCATTCCTATTAGAAAACAAGCAAACCAATCCTTCCTTTGATCCTACTGTCTCCTAGAATTATCACATTAGCTCTGTCTTCTTGCCATTACAAACTTCTTGAAAGACTGGTTTTTGTCTGCTGCCTCCACCTCATTATTTGTCCCATTCCTCATTCAACTCGGCACAGCCCCCTCTGCCTTACTCTTAAGTAGCTCTCTCAAACATGACTGATACGTTCCAATCAATAAACCCACCTCTCCCTACATAGCTCCCCTGCCTGGTCTTCTCAGTCTCTCTTGACCCTACTGACAATTCCCTCTGTTTGAAATTATATTTCTGCAGATTTGCAACTCCCTTAACTCTTGTCTTTATTCTCTTGACCCTTCATCTTTTGACTTATTTTAAAATCTAGGGATATCCAAAAGCTCAGTTCTTGACCCTTTTTTCCTTCTATCTTTTTCTTTGAATGCCCAACTCACTGCCTCAGTTTTAAATACGTGTTAGTGATCTTCACATCCATATTATTATCTTTGACATCTCTATTCAAAATTTCAACTCCATGAATAACATCTTTGTTCTGAGAAGCACCTCAATCTCATCATACTCAACTCATATCTGTTTATATTCGCTATTCACGGTACGTCTTCCTCCTGACTTCATTATTTTTATTAATGATGTAGCCTTTAACCCAGACACTCAGTCTTGCAAATGCACTCACCATTGATTTCCTCCTATCACTTGCCAATCATTTGGCAAAACCTCTTGTTCCTACCTCTGTAGCATTTCTCTCATTTATTGCATATACCTCTTTTCAATTCCGTGTTCAAGACTGTTTACACACTATTGTAAAACATCATTACTTTTTATAATTCCTAATGTTATTAGACTACTATTTGTTTCTTTTTTTTCTTTTGAGACAGAATCTTGCTTTGTCACCCAGGAGTGCAATGGCATGATCTCAGCTCACTGCAACCTCTGTCTCCCAGGTTCAAGTGATTCTCCTGCCTCAACTTCCTGAGTAGCCGGGATTACCCACCACCACACCTGGTTGATTTTTGTATTTTAAGTAGAGATGGGGATTCACCATGTTGGACAGGCTGGTCTCAAACTCCTGACCTCAGATGATCCACCTACCTTGGCCTCCCAAAATGCTGGGATTACAGGCATGAGCCACCGTGCCCAGCCTATTTGTATCTTTTTGTTTAGGACTCTTGGAATGATAAAATAAATGTTGGCACTCTCTTACATGGAAACCTTTAGTAGCTCTTCATTACCCACTGCAGAAAGAACAAATACAGACCCTCAAAACTGTTCACCTAATAGTCAGTTTGATCTCTCCTGAGGGATTCCACACTTTGCGCCAGACTAAATTAAGTGTCACCCCTTTAATGTTCCCATTATTTCTTAAGTATGTAACTTGTTTCTTCACTATTTCTTCTACTAACAATTTTTCTTTCTCAGCCCCTCCATTTCTGTCTGCTAAATATATCCCATCTTATTATATTTTTCTGAAAAATAGTAAAGTATTACCAACAATAAAATACATGTACATGTATCATATGTTTATAAGTAAACAATATATAAAATAGATCTCTTGACAAGCTAATATCCCGCAGTGATTAGTATGTTGGAGCTCTACTGATAATTCTGTTTTGACGATTTATTTATTTAATTATTTAAGATGAGCAGAGTACCCACATGTGTCAGTAAATACTTGTTGAATAAGTAGATGAATTTAATGGATTGTTTTTAATTAGAGTCTCTTGGCTCATTATCTTGGTATTTCTTGAGGCTGACAGAGTTATCAATTTTGCTTTCATTTGTAATTTTATTCTCACTGATTTGTACACCATATCATATGCTATACCTAGGGAAATAGTTAAATGAATTTATGATTAAAGCAGAAAAAGAAGTCAATGCACACATAACTTATCTTCATATTACTAACTAATATTAGAAGAGAGTAGTGTGTATCTGTTCATTATATGGCAGAAATTGTGGAATATATCCTCAGTCAAATGAGCTGTGTGTCACAGGTACTGATCAGATTATCTGGCTCCCTTCAGTAAATTTGTGTTGGTTATCATTATTATAGTAAAACTCCACTAGAAATGGATATGTCCATTTTCACACTGCTATAAAGATACTCCCTGAGACTGGGTAATTTATGAAGGAACAAGGTTTAATTGACTCACAGTTCCACATGACTGGGGAGGCCTCAGGAGACTTACAATCACATTGGAAGGTGAAGGGGAAGCAAGGACCTTCTTCACATGGTGACAGGAGAGAGAGAGAGTGGATGAGGGGGAATGTGCCACACTTTAAAACCTTCAGCTCTCCGAAGAACTCACTTACTGTCAGAACAGCATGGGGGAAACGGCCCCCATGATCCAATCACCTTCCACCAGATCCCTCCCTCGACATGTGGGGATTGTAATTCAAGATGAGATTTGGGTGGGGACACAGAGCCAAACCATATCAAAAACCATTACTAATGTCCCAAATTTCATAAATATATACATACACATTAGTAATATGTGTGTGTGTGTACACACATATGCACACACAATGGAAATTTCTTTTGTCAATATGGCATTTATCCAAGACACTTGCAAAATGATTAGCCAAACTTCTATCCTCCAGTATCTTCCTTCCTTTTACATATGCTGATTCTGGTTTTACATGGCTCTTACCTTCTGATATGCTCTGTTCAGCACCTCCTCTTTGTTAGTTAAAAATTGGCAACACAGACTCAACTATAGTTTTTATTTCTTGAGTGTTGATTTTTTGTACTCCTCAGGAGTAATTTAAGTTAGATAAATCTTTTTTTATTTGCTGAAACTTTTTTTTTATTATACTTTAAGTTCTGGAGCACATGTGCAGAACATGCAGGTTTGTTACATGGGTATACACATGCCATGGTGGTTTGCTGCACCCATCAACCTGTCATCTACATTAGGTATTTCTCCTAATGCTATCCCTCCCCTAGTCCCCCATCCCCTGACAGGCCCCAGTGTGTGATGTTCCCCTCCCTGTGTCCATGTATTCTCATTGTTTAACTCCCACTGATAAGTGAGAACATGAGGTGTTTGGTTTTCGGTTCTTGCATTCGTTTTCTGAGAATGATGGTTTCCAGCTCCATCCATGTCTCCGCAAAGGGCATTAACTCATCCTTTTTTATGGCTGCATATATCTTTAACCTTCATTCTACTAAGACAGTTTTCCCAAAATTTTGCTGCATCTCTGAAATCCCATACCTTTAAACTTTTATGCATCACATTGTCCTATAACAGGCATACTGTCATAAAAATGTTGCCCAACTTCTGGTGTTAATTCCATATTCCTGAGTCTTTCCCCAAAACAGAAGTTTTCTGTTTATTTTGCCATTGGACTCCTACTCCCACTGGTTAAAAAGTTGATGTGAATTTGCCATTATGATTTTGAACAGTTAGTGATTGTAATCTTTCCAAATCATTCAGAAAGTGATAAGGCTATGGGGAGCTGGGGTAAGAAAAGATAGTTAATATATGAGGATCAGTCATTTCAGGTAATCAGTCCTATCAGCAGCACCATGAGGAAGAAGCTATAAACTCCATCTCACAAATGGAGAAACAGACTCAGAGTTAAACATGGTCTTGTAGTTCACGTTGTAGGGTTGGAATTTAAGCCCATGACTGTTGTATTCCAAAGCTCATATGGCTCCATTACTCTTGCCATGTTGGGAAGTTCCTCATGTTTTGGAAATGCCTGTTCTCTAAAAATTAATAAATGCTGTCCATTCTATGTCTGGTTTCCTGCAAGCCCTACTCTGCTTTGTGAAAAAATATTTATTGCTTGATAAGGAATTAGCTTAAACTACTTATGCAATATTTGTTTGCTATGCAGTTGCAATCTTAAGCCAGTTAAAATGCAAACTTCCTCTGAGAGTTCATATTTCTGAAACGGACAGTGATTTTGCTTCAAGGGATCTTTAGCTCTATATGACACACCATGTATATACTTAGTTTGATTATATAAAGCTTTCCTTATGTTGGATTTGTTCTCCCTTCATTCCAAACAAATATTGCATATGTATGATTAAACACATGATCTGATGAAAATTTGGATGGTGTGTAGAGAAACTTAACAATTTTTATACTGACATTACTGAATAATCATTCAATCATGCTAGATAACGTTGCTATATGTCTTTACACAAAATTGGTTGCTAGAAGCTATTATGACCTGTTACTTGGTTCAATGGATTGAATTTTTTCATGCTAACTATAATTTAAATATATTTGCTTAATACATGAACTCAGAAGTGTTTACTTTGAGTCTTAGTCATGCTAAGCTATGCTGGGGCAACAGTCTTCAAATACTTAGTAGTTTCATGAAGAAAAGGTGAATTTTTCCTTTATAAAGGGTTATGTGCAAGTCAGGAAGCTCCTCTGAGTGACTTTTCTCCAGATAGTGAGTCAGGGATCTATTTCCACTATGTGACTTTGTTACATTGGTGGCTTATGCTTACAAGCCTGGAGTGAGTGGAGAGAAAGACTGAGAGCAGCAGATGTAAGAGGCCAGGCCTGACAATGCTCTTGCACTTCTGCCCATAACTAGTTGACCACAGCTTGTCATATCACCCCACTTAGATACAAAGACATTGGCAAACATTGTCTTCTGGGGCTGGGAAAAGAAAATAGGTCAGTTGATATACCACAAAGACTCTGACACAATTAGGAAGATGGCATGGATCGAAACAACATTCACAACATATGATTAAAAAATAAAATACTTTCAGTAACAGGCTTTTTAATAGATTAAAAGAGAAAAATAAAACGATCAATTTTAAATAAATTATTATACCAGGCAATGCAAATGATTCCATTGATTTGTTTTTAAAACTTAAAACATTATGTTGGTACACGAACACACACACTCAAACAAAATTAAAAATGAAAGACCTAAAAATAAAGTTAACTTTCTAACACAAGTGAGGAAACAAGCTGGTAGGAAGGTAACCTAGAAGCTGGGCATTATCTAGTATGGAAGGTGGAAGTATAGCCAAGGAGTAGGAGGAAAGCTCAGCCCTTCCTACACACTGGGGCAGAGAAAATTCAAATATATTGGCCTAGGAAAGAATCCAATGTCCCAGGAACAACTGGACAATTTTTTCTTACAAGTAATGTTCTGTTACATGCCAGATGGTGTTCCTGTACAGAATTTCCACACCAATGCATAAAGGAGAGGTCTTCAAATATAATTGTGTTTTTCTCCAAGCATCTATGAGAATAAGACACCAAATATAAGGACTACTGTCTCCTGTGCTATAAAATAAAGCCAGAAAAAAAATATGTCCACATTCACACTTGAGTCAGAGGATTCACTTTTTATTCAACTTAAGCAAACAACTAGAAAGCATTTCATCAGGAGTTATGCAAATACTGTGTAGTTGATCTAATTCAGTCAATAGCAATTGCGGATTTTTAATGGGTCTTCTTTAACCTACTAAAGCCTATCAAAATATAGTGGGTTCAGTATTAATGAGATGATTTCCCATAATGTACAACTTATCAAGCAAAAATATAAATCCATCCACTCTTCTAAAATATGTGATTTCTCTTTTGATTTCCAGTATCTCTAGACACCAAGTTCAACCTGTCTGGAGCTTAGTTGCTTACGGTTGAAATCTGTTTCATGAGGAGCAGAAAGTAGTGATGATAAAGCACTTAGGGCATTTGAGATGGAAATTGCAGTTTCAAGTTAGAATTTCTAAAATTGTTTTTGTTTTTAAATCCATCAATGTATAATGCTTCTTAGTTAAGCTGAGGTGGACCCTGAAATCTAATAACTAAATCCACTGGGAAAGGACCAGACATATCCAAGACAGATCCTGTTACCCAGTAAACAGCATTTAATTCTCTTTGCCTGTCACCAACAGCTGGGCCAATTGCTGTCCCACCAGTAGATAGGTTCGGTGGGGGCTTCTTTATGCCCAACCCATAACTGATCCTAGAAGCTAAATCCCAGCCTGTCCCACAGGTCTAGTAAGAATTTACTCACCTTTACATCCCATAGGTAGGACATGTCTGGTAAACTACACAAGGAAACAATGACTGATTCAAGACCACCTCTACCACTGACTCTTCATTCATGGCATGCAGGACCAAAGATGCTATGCTAAATGAAGTGGGTCCTCATGGGAAGAGTATATCTTATTGAAAAAGGCATGATCTTAGAATCAAACCTATTTGTATTTAAATGCCAGCTTCTCCATTCAATTAACAGTGTGACTTTGATCAAATTGCACAATATTTTGAACCTGAGTTTTTAAATGTGAAAATGCACATCTTAATAGAATTTTTTTGAGATGTAAAAAACTTTAGATAAAATAGGTGTTTCTTAAATGTTAGTTTCCTTTTCAAATTAGTAACAGATCCAGTAATCTTCATAATCACAAAAGTTAGCATATCAGAAATTATAATGATGTGAGGCATTCAAGAATTTGTCTAGTTTAATACCTTACATGTAGACTTAGAAGGAAGGAATGGATGCACACAAATGAGTTTTCTGTGGGATGCGTAAAAATGCATATTCCCAGGCCCATCTCAGATTTGCTATGAATAACTCAGAAGCCCTAGGAATTGAGCTTGTGCACTTGCAACTTGAAAAATCTTCCCAGCTGATTCCTACACACACCCCTAGTTAAGTGCTATGGATCTAGAAGCCAGCATAAAGTATGGTGAATAGGAAGTTCTCAGCAAACATTTGCAGAACTTGGATGGTCCATGTCTTAGCCCAGTTTCTACCTCCTGTAACCATATGGCTGTTTTCTGCTTCTCCCTGGCTGCCAGTCACTATGACACCAACCATTTTTATCTTAAAGGAATTTAACTGCTCCTGGAGAAAAATTGATGCTCCAAAGTATCCATCTAGACATTTGCCAAAATATAGACAAAGGAATAATATGGCTGCCTGTTTTTTGGAATATTTTCACAATGCTAGAATTTAGACACTTTGGCAAGGCTATATTATAAGCTATAACATATTAACTAATATTTATTGAACACGTACATGCAGCAGGCACTGGGTAAAGTTCATGTTCGTAAGACCCCTTTGTGGTAGGTACTATGAATATCCCTATTTCATAGTGAGGAACTGAGGCATTTCAGCACACCTCAATGTGTAACTTGTTCAACTTCATACAAGTTTTTTAGAGTGAGGCTCAAATATACTTCTAGATTACTTCAAAGTCTAACAAGCATCCGAATACATGCTCATTCTGATGATAATGTGTCCTGGGCCAGAATGTGTAATGCAATTAAACATTCTATATTATCAGTTTCACAGAAATTAATGGATATTAACATGTCGATTTTTTGGTGCTAATGTTTTAGACAACCATATGAGGACCATTTTCATGATGGAAAAAAGTGGGAATTGAATGATTTAGGTCTGAAAATGCAAGGAACACAACAGAGAAGGGATTTTCTAGGATCCCGAAGGTTGAGAAAACTTCAGGTCCTGACCACCTGGCGCAGACCTGTAATCCTAGCAATTTGGAAGGCTGGTGGGCAGATCACCTGAGGTCAGGAGTTCCAGACCCACCTGGTCAACATGGTGAAACCCTGTCTCTACTAAAAATACAAAAATTAGTTGGGCATGGTGGCAGGTGCTTGTAATCCCAGCTACTTAGGAGGCTGAGGCAGGAGAATCGGTTGAACCCGGGAGGCAGAGGTTGTGGTGAGCCAAGATTACGCCATTGCACTTCAGCCTGGGCAATAGAGTGAGACTCCATCTCAAAAAAACAACAACAAAAACAAAACAAAACTCGTCTCTTTACTTCCTATCCCACTACCTGCCTACTTTTTTTGATTTATCTGTACTTGGTTATATATATGCATGCATATAAGCAGGCAGGGAATAAAGCAGACAGGAAAGCACATTCCAGGCTCTAGAATATCTAAGAAGGATGATCTGGTTACTCCCTATTATACCACCCTGTGTTAATTTCCTGTGTTGACCCTGTTATTGTCTGGAAATGTTATATAACCATAGCTTGTGTTTACTTATGCTTTCTTCTCACAATAATGTTTGCTCCATGAGATCTGGGACCTTTATATACCTTGACTACCATTATAATGACTGAATATTTGAGCAGAATCCAATGTTGAGAGAGGAATGAACATGTATTGCAGTACCAGATAGAACTGTCCACACTCTAAAAAAAGAGAGAAATATACCAAAAAGACAGAGTCATGTTAGCAGAGTTGTAACCTTTGCTCTTAAAGCAGAAATTTCTGTTTTGTGTTCTCTTTTGTGTACATGCACGTGTGTGTGCAAGTGTATATGTATGTGTGTATGATAGCAAGAGTGAGCAAGAGTGAGAGGAGTTGCGACCAGGGAATCAGGGGCAAGATGGGCTTACAAATGTGTGTGTGTAGGCAGAGAAGAGCAAGAAATCAACAACTTGCTCCTCACACCATTAGAAACTCCAGACGCTCATGAGCGAATGCAAGACCTGGCTGAGAGAAGATGATATCCTGAATCTAGGAAAGTGGCATAGGAGAGGATGAAATGAAGGAAGGAGAGACTGCACAGTTCAGATTGACAGGGCCTTGTCACTAGATGTAGGGAGAGGGAAGAGCCAAGGCAATGCTCAAACCTCAAACTTGAGTGCCTGAGAATAGTCAGGCCATTCTGTGATATGGAGAACGTGTGGAGAAACAGTTATGGGGGAAAAGAACCATGAGTTAAGTTTTGCTAGGTAGAATTTAATATGTTTTTAATAGTCCCAATGGAAACGTCAGTGGTCAATGAATTGATGGGTCTGAAATTAAGAGGGAAATTAAGTCTGGAGATATATATTTAGAGTCATCGGTAAATCTCTACCTTTACTTTTCTTAAAACCTCCAAATTTACCTGCCTTAAGTAGCTGTTGATTATTCCTTAAAACAGAGATGTAAAATGACTGCCCTAATATCAGCCCATATATTGCCTACCATAATAACTACCAAGAAGGAAAAATATTCTACAGTTATCAGTACATATTCAATGCAGCAGTACCCAATCACCAGTGGAGTGGAGTAAGGTTATGAAATTGCTTAGGTTTTATTCAATCTGTTTTATGTAGCCATGCTTGAGGACACAACAGGGAACCTGGAAGTTAATTTTAGACTACGATTCCAGTCCTTGGGGAAATCCTTACATCTCAGTGTGCTGTGAGCATCACCAGAATTCCTTCTTCTGGCCCTCTAGGAATTTGTCATAATGATGACTGTCTCTGAGTGACAGGCAATGGAAAGTACTGGTTAAGTAGTAGATGCAGATTGTTTGGGTTTGAATCCTGGCTCCCTCATTTACTACTCATGTGACCTATTTACTTCCCATGCAGAGAGGATATATTAAGAGTGCACATCTCAGAGTGTTAATGTGGGAATTAAATACAATGAATACCATATAGTGCTGGAACAATGGCATACAAAATGTACTAAATAGGTGTTAGCTCTTATTTTTTAAAATGTCTACGTATTATCACTGCTGTACTTACACTACTATTCAATAAATACTGGTTGAATGAAAGTTTGTACTGAGCTTTACTAGACCACTTTTGCAGAACTAAAAATAGTGATAGTAGCATTCAGTGGAAACCCTACATAATACCTGTGATGTTGCTGAATGGTGTGACATTATCCAAACATGGTACCTTGGCCTCTATATGATCAAATAAATAAAGCCAACTTTATACGGGGCTAGATTAGTAGTCGTGACTAGACCAAAAGAAATGTCACTGGACTCCCTGTTTTATGATTGCAAGAAATCTTGCTTCAGATGCCATTATTGGTTTCTAGTACACTTATGTCTTCCTTATTCACACATTGTGCATTAAAAGAAACAAATAGGCCAGGCACGGTGGCTCACGCCTGTAATCCCAGCACTTTGGGAGGCCAAGGTGGGTGGATCACGAGGTCAAGAGATCGAGACCATCCTGGCCAACATGGTGAAATCCCTGTCTCTACTAAAAATACAAAAATTAGCTGGGTGTGGTGGCATGTGCCTGTAATCCCAGTTACTTGGGAGGCTTAGGCAGGAGAATTACTTGAACCCAGGAGGCAGAGGTTGCAGTGAGCCGAGATTGTGCCACTGCACTCCAGCCCGGTGACAGAGCGAGACTCCATCTAAAAAAAAAAAAAAGAAAGAAAGAAATAGAATATGAGAATTATTACTCTGTATGTATTACATTCTTTATATAGAAAAGAAATAGAGGGGTGTGTGTGTGTGCATGCATCACATTTACACAATGAGTACTTCTGTGCAACTATTTCTGTTATATAAAGAACTAGGAAACAAAAAGCCTTTTAGAAGTTGTTGCACAGTGTACAATGGCAAACAAGGTGAACAGAAGTATAAAATTTCAAACAATGTAATAGAGATTTAACATAACAAAAATTGTAAAGATAAATCATGTATTAGTCTGTTCTCATATTGCTATAAAGAAATACTTGAGACTGGGTAGTTTATGAAGAAAAGAGGTTTAATTGGCTCACAGTTGTGCAGGCTGTACAGGAAGCATAGAGGCTTCTGCTTCTGTGGAGGCTGCAGGGAACTTTCAATCATGACTGAAAGCAAAGGGGGAAAGAGGCATCTCACATGGTGAGAGCAGGAGCAAGATGGGAGTGGTGCTACGGACTTTTAAACAACCAGATCTTGTGAGGACCCTCTCAGGAGAACAGTACCAAGGGGATGGTGGTAAACCATTCATGAAGTTGGTAAACCATGATCTAATCACCTCGCACTAGGCCCCACCTCCAACACTGGGAATTACAATTTGACATGAGATTTGGGTGGGGACACAGATCCAAACCATATCAACTTGGAAATTGAAAATGAAAGTCATCATTATCATTATACTTAGTCCTGTGATTACTAATGGCCAACAAGTATTGGGCACATACGTACTCTGTGCCAGGTATACTTGACACAAATTATCATCACAGCAAGTTCATCTCTTGCAATAATTGTATAGTAGGTGCTATTATTATCCCTGTTTTAGAGACGAGAAACCAAGAAACAGAGAAGATTGAAAAAACAATAATGATTTGCCCCACATTACATCAATAGAGATCAGGGAAACTGAGACTTGACCCAGGGCACACTGACTCCAGAAACCATGCTTAACCAGCACGCCAATAGGACAGAATACTTCATAGTTCATGAATCTTCCTCAGGTCTGTTACCTTATTTCGTCTTCACAGTCAGCCTGTAGGGTAAGTGTTATCTCAGAGCATGTAAGTTGTACAAGCCCACACAGGTGACAGTGACAAGGCTCAGATGAGAAGCCTAGTCTTCTTCTTTGAAATGTTATGCTCTTTCTTTCCATTGGAGTCTAGTCTAATAATGTTTGTGACAACTCTTAGGAGTTCATAAGTTGGTGAGGCACTCTTCATTCTGCAAGCAATAACTAAATGCAAATTGAAGATGTTCAACTAGTGAACACAGTGAGGAAAGGATGCTTGCTTACACATTGATCTGTTGAGCTATAACCAAGGAGGGGATGACACATGGGAACTATTAGCAGAAGCATCTTTCTAAATTCATGATGTTAGTTAATGTTGCACAGTGCTGTTAAAAATAAAACTAGATTAGAATCAAAAGGCAAAGTTCTAGGTTTTCCAGCATTAGAAATCTCAACATCTAATGATTTCTGTATTAATAAAGGACAATATCTGACATCTTTACCTCAGAGATAGAGTGAAAATTAGATGATATACAACTACAAAAATCTGGCATTCATATACTACCAGACATATGATAAGCACACAGTAAATATTTGTGAAATAAATAAGTGAATAATTTGCTGATATGTAGAGCAGAACGTGAATTTAAACGTACAGATAGTGTATACACATAAATACACAACTGACAAAGCACATTTGAATCATACAGTACTCATTTATATACCTGTCACCGATGTTTTTCTTTCATAGACTTTCAAATTTATGTTTATGGATTTGAATCAAACTAAAAATGGTTTATGTTCATGGCCTTTCAGCCTTTTAACTTAATATTCTTGAATACTAAGAATATTCTTTAATATTCTTGAAGCAATCCTATGGGGGAAAATGTCATATAGCAATTAGTCATTGCTAATGTGTGTTACAAACATAAATTTATGTCAATTTGCCCAACTCAGGCATGCTGTCATCCCCCAGTTACACTCATTAATTCAATATATGTTTATTAAAGGCACAGAATGTGAAAGGTACAATTCTATGAGTTTTGGGGGCTCAAAGATCAATTAAATGTTAATGTTGCTCTTACATGTCTTATAGTCCAATAAGAGAGGTAAAGCATGCATCTAAAAATGATGTGAAGGAGAAGTAATTTGTGCCTTCAAATAGGTAGGGATAAAATGCACCAAGAATTCAGAAGTTGAAGAAGTTACTGCTAGCTGATGGGATCAAGGAAGAAGGAGCCTTTAAACTGGACAATTGGGTGGATAGTTTAATTTGTGGGGTTTCCAAAGAATAAGCAGAATGAGGTAACATCTGGAGCACAGGTAGGGAGATGTAGACGTGTATAGAGCAGTTCAGCTTTGCTGGAGCCTGAAAAAAGAATCGTGTATTCAAATGACCGGTTTGTGCAGAACTAAGGAATTCAGGATTTAAAACTTTCAGTGCCAAAACCAACAAAGTCCCAGGCATATGAAGATAAGCTGGTCATCCTAGTGTGTGTTCAGGTACAGCTCCTAATTACTGATTATTGTGGGACATTAGCTGATAAAAGATATTTAGCTGTGACATTCAAAAAATTTCAGCATTTTAATACATAAAGTTTACATCTTTAACCACAAGCCATTCCCTTTATTTTAAGCTACATCTGTCTTTGAAAATTTATTCTCTTTTATTTTCTTAAATTTCAGCACTTTCAGATGCTTTCCTCCATTTCCTCAATCATCAAATAAAGACATGTTCGTGTAGCTCTAGCTTCCTCTGCAAGAAAGACAGCTCAGGATGTTAGAGATTGAATTCCACCACAGAATTTGTCGTTGGAAAACTGAGTTCAGATGTCTTTACTCAGGTTGACCTTCCACAAGTCACAGTCTCTCTGGGCCTCAGGTTCTTTGTCTTTATGATTACATAGAAGGTATTTAACTGCAGAAAATGTTAGGCAGCTACGTGTCTACTAATATTCAAAAGCACGTAAGTATCTCCTGAAATGAATGCAGAACTGGGACTAGAAATTTGTAAGCCACATGTCAAGGTAGGTGGCAGGCAGAGTTGGAAGATCTGCATGTGATAGTGGCAAGGGTAAAGAGAGGGTAATCAAGCGGAGTTACGTACGGAACTTCCACACTGGCACAGGAAAAGAACACTGGAGTCATTGCAAAAGGCATAAGCAAGCCATCATCTGAAATTTATGACAGCTGTCACAGGCTCAATGGGATTGGTGATTCAGAATAGGCTCACTTGGATTTTCTATTCCTTTCTTGATAAGGGGCACAATTATGTACTACATTGGCAGCCAGGGATGAGACATAGGCACAGCCTCTTTTGTAAATTAGTCTTTTTGAAGTCTTATTGTTAAATATAACAAAAATATAGAAAACACCAATAACAAATGTCAGTTTAATGAATAGTAATGTGACCACCTAGGAAAACTACTGCCCCTATCAGGAGTTAGAACTTTGCTGGCCATGATGAAACTTTCTGGTGTCCCTTCCTAAAGAGTAACCACCATCCTGACTTTTTTGGTAATCATTTTCCTACTTTTATTTAGAATTTTATCAACCAAATGATATGTATATGTGAAAATATAGAGTAATGACCTTTTATTGTTATTAAAATCTTTTTAAATCTGTAGACTTCCTCTTCGTCTTCTCTCTCTCTTTCTCTTTTTATCTCTGAAACTGGAATATGCACCTGTCTATGTAGTGTTGCTCACAGTCTGAATTTAGCTGATTGCATCCCCATGGTTTAGCTTAATATGCTCCTCTGTTCTCTGCATTCGCTGACATTTGCTCACATTTGAAAAGGCTAATTTAAGGGCCGTGTAATTTTTCTGTCTCAGGTGGCACATATTGTACACTTATCTCGTGTGTGTGTGAGTGTGTCATGCTAGACACCATTCATTCACAGTACTTAGATCCTTGAATGAATTAAGGACTGCTGGCATGACAGTCTATCATTTAATCTTCAATTATTAGTCAGAATAATTCTATAAAGAGAAACTCCCTCTCATCTACTCTTTTGCTACTCAGTAGTACAGTTTATATGGAAAAAGCAAGAAAAATGTTGGATTCCTTCCTTTCACTTGCCAGTTTAGCCTCTTATACGTCAGTCTAGATCTTGACAAATGTGTCCTATTTTGAATGCCAATAAAATTGTGTGGAGTAAACTCACACAAATTAAAGGCATTTAAAATAAGTAACTATATCTTGAAATACACACACGACTTATGTTTTTACATTTTGATGAGTTTATTTTCTAAGGATACTTGGAAAGATAGTTCTTCATTCCCTACTTATTTTTTATCCCGTATTATTATTGCCCAAGACAGATAATATCTGCTCTATTTGCATTTTCAGGGCAGTGTTCAGATGAATGCTTTTGTCCCTGTCTACTTCTAACTTTATGCTCCAATGCAAGATTTAGTTATTGGAAAACTTAACCATCATATTCTAATGAAATTTAGAGAACTCTGGAATTATGAATCTCCCTTTTCCAAGTCACTCTTCAGTTCTATAGGATGAGTCCATTAGAAGCAGAAGGTAGAATCTCTCCAGGGTAAATGGGCCAAGGGCAGCATTTGATACATGATTGGAAAAGCTGCCCTTGCTTCCTGAGATAGAAACACAAGAATAGAGGGATTAGGAATGAATAAAGAAAACAGCCAGGAGGAGCTGCTGAAGGGTGAGCTTCTATTTGAACTTGCTTACTTCCCTAGAATGTTCATTCTATACTTTTTGATAAATAAGAAAATATTTTTAAAGCTATGATTGTTTCATTGTTCTTTAAATGCAAACTGCATTTACAGAGAAGAGAGCTCCAATAAGAAGCAGTTTTGATAATTAAATTTCTTACTTGGCTTTCATAACCTATCACACAAGAGAGTTTTATCAGTGGAAAAAGCAAACATTTTCATTGATAGAAGGGTGAGCCATCTTTGCCTTACTGCACTCTAATTCCTTGATCTGACTTTTAAAAAAATACAGAGTATGGGCTGGGTGCGTTGGCTCACGCCTGTAATCCCAGCACCTTGGGAGGCCGAAGCAGGCAGATCACGAGGTCAGGAGATCGAGACCTTCCTGGCTAACATGGTGAAACCCCGTCTCTACTAAAAATACAAAAAATTAGCCAGGCATGGTGGCACACACCTGTAATCCCAGCTACTCAGGAAGCTCAGGCAGAAGAATCGCTTGAACCTGGGAGGCAGAGGTTCCACTGAGCCAAAATGGCACCACTGCACTCCACTCTGGGCAACAGAGCAAGACTCTGTCTCAAAAAAGTAAAATAAAATAAAATAAAATACAGAGTATGAACATCTGAGAATCAATAATTCTTCCACAACTCAGCAATTTAGAATCCTTCAAAGAAATAGTCAATGTTTGCTTTGAGGATGTGAACTCTAGCATGAGAATACTTCATGGGAAGTGATATAGAGGCTTAGAGAAGTTAAAACTTTCAAAAGCATCAGACATTTATGTTTTACAGTTGCACCTGAGAAGAAGGAGATTGCTTATGTTTGTGGCCACCATGAATTTTTATAAAGGCCACTTCAAATACCTTTTTGAAAACATTCTTTCCATAGAGGAATCAAGTCCTAAAATTAATATCTCCTACAAGTGGTTTCTAATTTGCTAGAAGTCCTGGAGAACTTTTTTCACACACACTGTTCCCAATTATGATGCCACTTTCATGTAGGTCTCTCAGCTTGGCTTTCATCCAGGCTGTTAGGTGAAATTAGGCCCAGAAAATCGGATTATTACATCCCAAGGGAAACAACTGATAAGCAGCAGATGATTGTTCATCTCCTTGCTACTTGCTGGTGTTGAGGTGTTGCTAGTTGCAAAGCCAATTTGTTAACAATTAGTGCTCATTAGAATCATTTCCTGTTATCGATTCTAAACATGTGACAAAGCACTTTTAGGAAACTGGACCCCAAAACGTAGCTATTCGTCAGTGATAAGCAATTAAAAATCTCAAGATCCAGTGTAATTCCTAACCAGAGTCGTCAGTTTCCAAGTAATTATTTTTGCTTTGGAACCCACCTGCTATCCTGTCCGGTTTAAAGATGTGCTGGAACAAGGACATACTTCTTAATTAGCAGAGGGTGTGGATAAGTCAGTGTGGGAACAAAAGGAATTTTCTTTTATTATCTGCTTTAGCTGTTTGTAGTATATCTTTAAGGGACAAAAACTGCCAGCTTGCAATACAACACATGTATTTGCAAGAGTGTGAAATGAAATGCATTACTTCTGTTATCTAAACATCTAAGCTTAGTTTTTAAGTCTCTGTTCACCTTTGATCATTATGAACTCTAAATATAGAATCATAAATGGAGTCATTGTGCATTACATTCAAGTTTAACTATTGCCAGTATCAGCTTTGTAAAATATTATATATGACTTTAATAAAATTAGCATAAATACTATAAGCATTTGAAATTTTTCTTAGAAAAGGCATTGTGTTGATCTACTTTTTGAATACAAATCTACATGCGTTATATGCTACAAATATATACTCAATAGATGGGCCTTCATTATCTAATTAAAATATTAATTATCTGTACAAGTATCATCTGCTAATACTTGCTAAATATTCTTTAGAATTAAGAGAATATCCCTTATTTCCTCCTTAGTAAGTAATGGTCTTTACATATGAACTATTCAGTTATTTTTGTAGTATCAGAATTAAAACTGAATGATGCCCCTGCCTTCTCTTCCTTTTCCATGTCACCCCCCCAAATTTCCTTTGCTTCTGTGTTTATTTTATAAATGTAAATAATTATCCCTACTCATTTTCCCCTAGGTTTAATAATGCTAAAAATATTTCTCCTTCTTGTTGCAGAGCATGGATATGTAAACTAAGTATATTTCTGTTTCTGAATTTCTTATTCCCATATTAAAAGCTTATATCAATGGAGAAATTAAGTGTATGTTTTTTTTCAAATGCCCTATATGCAACCCCTCTATCCTTAATAAACAGAGATGGTATTGACACAAGTGAATTTTGTTTAACCACACTACATTTGCTTCTTAATTAGTGAATATTCATCTGTCATCAGCAGCAGCTATGACACCCCTCCCTGCTAACATGTTCTGTCATAAATAATCAATGAGGCACTATTAATATTCATGAGCTGGAATCTGTGTAGTCATGTGCACTGATGCAGAGACGGGGGAGTGTTGCCATGAACTGACTGGAAACTCTGTGTGTGTATCCGTGAGTGCAAGATACTTAGGGAAAGCGAAGAAGAGCATGCTGCTACACACCACTCTGGCTTACGCTTCCAGCTAACAGCGGTTTGTCTGTGTTTCTGGACTGAAGTGACTGATGAAAAACAGTAGTCAAGTCTGGAGGGTGATTCCCTTTCAGTTCACTTGCCTTTCAGTTCTGGGGAAATTAGAAGATTTGCTCTCTCTCTCTGCTTCTTAGAATGGGCTGCAATTTGTGCACTTTTCAGAAAAGAGAGGAACACTACAAACTGCTGTATGAAGTTTCCCAGGTGAGTGCAGGGTCTGATACCAGCAACTAAGAGCCAGGCTTTGTGTTTGTCTGAAAGACGGTAAATGAATTCTGGCTAGCTTTATTTTTTCTTTCAGTACATTTCAGAATTGAGGGCAGACTTGCTGGTTTGGGGCTTTTAATTTTGGTTTTGGGTGGCAGTTTTCAGCTTCCTTGCCACTCCCCCTTCAGATGACTTCCTGTGGGATTCTTTTTAACATTTTGTGTATCTACTGCCAAGATGTCAGTCACATAACAGGAGTAGCACTGAGATCCATGTCTGTAATATTTTGAGATATCTCTTTCATTTTGGAATACTGTTGACATTTGAAAATCAATTGTATCATTGTCTGCATAAATATTGGGGTTTAATGGGTCTATGATCTCAGTTATTTTCAATAGACAGGAGAAGTTTCCTGCCAAATCCTGTTAGCCATAGGAAATTATTGGATGAATTGAGAATTTGTGCTTTGGTTTAAGAGGAAGACCTAGTAATTTTGTATTACATGAGGAAAAAATATATGCTATGTCCTGGCTGAAACAGGAGATAAAGAAATTCTCTTACCACTTGTTATTGGATCCTTTTTATAAGGTTTTTGTTTGTTTAGCACTAGAAATTAATTTTGAGAGCTTATTACAACAACTGTAGGTGACCTAGAAAAAAGTGTATAAATTTAGATGTCTCTTTTATGTGTATCTGAGGGCTTTTAGGAATACAAATAAGAAAACTAGATCCTGAGCCTTTATAGTTTTAACAGAATTTTCTTAACTTACTGTTTTATTGGGGGAGGTTCCCCTGGGAGTGTATGCTCAAGTTCGAATTTCTTATCTAGCAAAATAAAGTTTATTTCTCCCTTCTTCCAGTTTGTCCCAAAGGTGACACAGTGCTACATTTGTTCTTAGACAAGATTGCTGATGAAGGACGATGCTTGGGATGTTGGTGGCCCATGGCACAGCAGTAGCCAAGTGCCCACTGACTACTGGCTCCCTCAGATTTCCCCCTGACGTGATTCATTTCACAGTGGGCTAATTACAAAGTGGATTTGCTACACATGAAACAGCCTCCTCAGTTGCAATGTTAATGCACATTTTCATGGTAATGTGATCAGAGGCTCATTAGCCAGTTTCCAAAATGATCTTCTGCATTAATTAAATATAAAAATGACTGCTTTATCACCATAGACAGGAAAAAGAAGATTAACATTGTTAATTACACCAGGGGCAATACCTTTTGCTTCATTTTTTAATACAAACTTGCAAGGATAGGCTAAAATAATATTCATTTCCTAGATGAGCTCTCATCCACTTTGACTCATGAAAACAGTCTCTAGGTGGAACACTTTCCTTAGTTTGGTTGTTAGAGTTTGAGTTCTAGTATTGTTTCTCTTTGGGTGGTGGAGGAGCAGAGGAGTGGATTCATCAATCTTTTTATTTAATCTGAATTACTAAATTTATATAAAAGTATAATATGGAGAGCGTGGTAGGTGGCATCCTCCCTGATTATGCCTAGGTTAAGCTGTTTATATTCTACTAAGAAATCCAGCAGGATTACTGCAGCCAGAAAGGACCACTGTATTTGCTAAGAAGCAGGAGCCTTTGTTATGGATTTTTAAAATGCTTGTCTGTGAGTTTTGCCTTCAAGTGCTTCCTAAATCTTGAGAAAATAGATAAGCCATGCTCTTTATTGCCTCTACCTGTACTCCTCCATATATTTATTTTATTTTCTCTACTCCTGAGTTGCAGTACTTATGATCTTTAATAAAGGGGGTGAAAAATGAAGTATTAGCTTCCATTTAACTGGCTTTTATTAGATAAGCTAAAGCCCCAGCTTAAAGGTCTTGCATGTGTTTTCCAAGGGGAGCCCTCCTACAGTTTGTCCCCAGCTTTGCCTTCTATTTTATTGAGTTAATGGAATAGATAAGATATCAAAGGAAACCAGTGATAGGCTCATATAATACGCTGGAGCCCCGTGTGGTGCTGCAAACTAGTTTCTATTTTTATTTGGAGGAAAGGCAGCTCAGAGCACACATGAAAGTGAACATGTTCTTAACCAGGTGTTCAGGAGGGCACATAGCTTCCCCCATAAGAGAGGATACTATTTACAAAAGTGACTTGTGATTGGAAGCCTATTTCTAGCTGTATATTAAAATAAACTTTCTGGCACATACACTAACACCTGATTGCCCAAATCATATTTATTTAAAGAATTGTAATTCTCAGATCATTTGCCTTTTTGTTTCTTTTGTTACTATTCCTTATGAGCTAAGGCAAAATAAAGTTTACCAGGAGATATGAAAATTTAAGATTAGCAGCGATCACGAAACATATGATCAACAGGAAAAATGTTTAATTCTTTATAATAGAATCATTATGATATTGAACTTTTCCACGTTTTCTTTCTAGATTTAGTGACCTGATAATACAGGACACATAGAATGCAGTTTCTGGTTTATAACTGCAGTAAACAAACCAAATGTGCTCGCTGAGGAGTCCAGTAAAACAATCAGAATGGTGCGCTTAGGTGTGAAATGAGGTCAAGTTTATATTTTGTTGATATTTTTTGCTCCTCTGGAGGAGCTAAGACTTTCAATTGGCACAAGAGATGGAATGTCACCTCAAGAAAATTATTTTCAACTGGAGTTGGGCCAATCAGGCTCCAGTATGCACACAGATACAAGAATCTAGGGTTTGGGTGGACCCAGTAACCTTCACACCATGCGGTTTCCATGCATCTTTATGCACCTATTAACTTTTATATGTGCCAGGGACACAGTTTTTATCTACAGTGATTTATTTTATTCAAAGTAAGTTATTTATTAACCTCTTATGAATTAATAAAGGAGTAATGGGAACAATGTCCTTCTATTGACACAAAC
This sequence comes from Homo sapiens, assembly GCF_000001405.40. NCBI lineage: Eukaryota > Metazoa > Chordata > Mammalia > Primates > Hominidae > Homo > Homo sapiens. Next base: position 41,440,889 of record NC_000012.12, read on the forward strand.
TGAACTGCCTGTTTCTTATTAATTTGATTAAATACCCATCTGGACCAAGAGAGCTACAATAGCTTGTTAGGTATTTCTGACCTAATAACAGATTTATTTCTGAGTAAGATTATATAATAATACTTAAATCTAATGACGTTTAAGCTTGATTTTTTCACATATGAATCCAGTGTAACTTTTTGATTGATTACGTGATGGTGATTATTGATGGGATGTTCGTTGGTGTCCAATAATGTGTTAAAATTGGGAGCAAATATTTAGAAGACCATACTATTAACAAGAAGCTGTTTATAGGATTTCATCTAAATCTCATATTGTGATATGCAAGATTCTATTCTTATTCACTTCCCACATCAGGGTAAAGAAATTAATTTGCCTTCAATCTCAGGAAAACCAGAAGTAGACTAGCACTAGTTCTCAGACAATGTCACTGCTGTGACTGCTGTTCTCTTCTAAGTGGATACTGTAGCACAACAGAGAGTACATTTATTAATTTGAATGGTTTGGCACAGCTAAGAGGTCTCCCCACCACCTGCATCTGTGAATTAGTAACATAAACTGAAACAGAACCTGCATTGAAAGTAACAATATTGGCAGCAGCTGACAATGAGAAGTTAGAATATTCAGACACTGTGCTAAGCACTTTTCCCTAAGCATCATCTTATTTAATCATCACAATATACCATGAAATAGTTACAGGATCCCTTCCCATAGCTTTTAAATATGCTAAAGTCTCCTCTATTCTAGAATGTTTCTTGGATCTCATATAATCTCCCTTCTCTGGGTGCTGTCCCAGATCTTTCAGAAATTTATTTTGTCTCATACTATGTAACCCCTACTCATAGTCTCTTAACATTTTCCCCCAGACTTTATCCCTTTCCCATGTTCCTTAGCGCCAGTGAAGGTCTCACCCTCCCTTTTGCTTTCAACAAAACTCAAAACCACTGAATGAAAAGGGCCACTTCTGCCTTCTCCACTCACACAGTGGCTCCCCTGGCTCTCTTATTTGTGCACATTCCCAGCATCAATTCCTGCCTTCCCACAGTCACAACTCCTTTGATTAACTCTCTCTGATACCGTAAGAATTTTCCCTCTTAGAATTTGCCATTGTGTCACTCCACCCTGATGGCTGCTGCTGGAATAATTTTCTAGAAAATGTTTAATGGCTCCCAATTACTATAAAATGAAGAAAACATGTCTTATTCCAGTATTAAAGGCCCTCTTGAGTGGCTTCTAGGTTTCTTTCCAATTGTCTCTCTTCCTATTCTTCCTCTAATGCAATTTGTAATTGCTCCAGACTCTATTTTTTGCTTTTCTCTTAAGGTAGGCCTCCCAATTTGGACCCTTGTAACTTACTTCCACTTTTCTTCAGCCTCTGTGGAATACACCTTGTAATCATCTCTGCCACTATTTTCTTCTATCACTAGTTATTCAAATGTCTCCTTGTGCAGAGAAATTTCTGCATTTATTGTTCTTTTTTTAAAAAAATTAATCTCTCCCACCTTCGGACTCCTTTTCATGTTTGCCTGCCTGGTATTATAGTCAATTCTGTATGAGTGAATTATAAGCATCTGGAGGGCAGGCCAGGTGCTTGTTTGTCCTTTCACCTTCACTCTCACAGCAGATCCTCATTAGGACTCACCAGGATGCCCTGCTCATCTGCAGCCTCTTTAGAATTAAACTACCCCATCCACAGCTGCTGGCGAAGGCCCATATCACTCTGTCTTCCTCTCTACTTTATATCTAACAGCTGATTAAACCAGGGACAAGCACCTTGTGCATAAAGTTGAGGGTTCAGTTAGGTTTTTTCAGTCTCAGAAATTTATATTGTGAAGTAGGACACTAGTAATGGGGCAAGGGTACAAAGGAATGTTGGTGGGGGAGCTTGGGGGTTTGTGTTCCACCATATCTATGAGGATCTGACCTACCAAGAGAATCAGAGACATCTAAGAAATGAAACAGATGGGTAATGAGAAAGGCTAAGAAATAAATAGCAAGTCCTCAGAATGGCTTTATTTCCCCAGTTCCAATACCTTCCTATGATAAACCTCTATTTTATTTGCTAGAATGAGGTGTCTGTTCCTTAAAATCAGAATAACAAGTGAGGATGCACTATAGTAATGGCTTGCTTTTATCAACTACTCAGCAGATGTCTTAAACTCTAGACATGTGGTTCAGTTCAAAAACTCTGTGTCAGCTCTGATTGCTTAATATGTGCCAAGCCCTGGACTTTGCCATGTGATAGTCCTTGCTTTTGAGAAATGCACAGTCTGGTAGCATAAGAGAGGCATAAACAGAGAATGTTCAATTTAACCTGGTAAATATTGAGTCAACAGAGATATTGACAGACAGCTATGGAAATGCAAAGGTGCTGCTCAGCATGATGGGAGCTTGGGGAGTGGGGGAGAAGAAGGGAGGAGAAACTAAAATGATGAAAGGGTTTTTAAAAAGCCAGTGGAAGTGGTAAACAGGCAGTAGATGTCAATGGATTGGGAGTTGGAAACTATAAGCAATAGGTATCGCTAAATGCTAAAGTAAGAGGCAGACTCCCTGGGTATGGCCTGACAGTGCTCAAGACAGACCCTAAAGAATTTCCCATCTTCCAATTTTCTGTTCATTTTTTTAAGAGAAAGAGAACTGTGATAAGAGTTCAATTGTAGATTTGGTTATGGTGTGTGTTTGGGGCCAATTGGGCTTGATTTGGGGATGGTGCACTACAGCAAGACTACAACAAGCGAAACCAACCAGGAGGCTGCTGAAAAGCCTAAGTTAGTGGTCAAAAGAATGTAAAAGGAGAATAAAAGTGAGGCCTACTAGGAGGTAATTTCAATAGGTATGTGGCTCTTGAGACTGGGTTGATGTCATGAAGTTTACAGAGAGAAGAAATAAAAGAAGGGAAGTGTGTTCTGAAAAGGAAGAGGAGATTGTTGATTTCATTTGCAGGATATCTAAGCAATGTCCAGGGACGGTGGAATAGTGAATATTCAAAACTAAAACTTGGCATATATGTGTCTGTTGGATGAGATCACCCAGGCAGATGTGATAAGTAAGGAGAACCAAAAAGTGAGGAGAGGTATAAGCACTGAGAAACAGGCCAATAAGAAGAAAGAAAAGGAAAAGACTGATATTGTTACAGAGTAGGAAGGAAAATAAGCAGAAAGTTATGGAAGTCAAGAGGAGAGAGATTTAAAATCGGAGTGGCCAGTGTGGTCAATTGCATTAGAGTGTGTAATAAGAACCGAGTATCTTTGGATTTGAAAATATGCTATGTGCTACTCAGATGCCTCTTTAGAACAGACTTGCTCCAGCTGCTGGGCGTGCTGTCAGCAAAAGCCTTTAATTTTAGGCTCCACTTTAACGGTCTTAGCTGCAGAAAATCCTTCACCCAACGTCATTCCCCTCCCTGGGAGGTAAATATCCAAGTATATACAGGTCTGGCCATCTTCTGCCCCAAGCCTGACTTGGGACACTCTGAAAGGCAATTTGAGCTTAAGAGCTCCCTGTAGCTGGTATTGGGCCTCACAGTTCCCTCCTTCTGCCCAATTCTGGTTCCTTCCTGTCCCTTCCACAAAGGGAACACTCCTTAGTAAACATCTTGCACACTACATTATAATCACTATATTCTCAGCATTGGCTTACTGGAGAGCCTAACCTGGTGATGATCACAGAGCATTTCAGTGCAGAAATGTGGAAAAATAATCCAAAAAGTGTTGGATTGAAAGAAGAGACTGAACTTTCAAAAACTTTAGATATGACAGATTGTCAAAAATGAAGTTACTGCTATCACTGGACTAAAGCTTTTCCTGTCCCTTTTTGTTAAATGCAAAATTACTTAAAATTGTGAAATGAAAAATGAAAGTTATCACTACCTTTCCTTTAAAAAGTAAAATAAGTTGATTTTACATCTTGAGCTATGATGTTCAGAGAGTGATGATAATATAGTGATTAAAAAATAAAACATGTACATTTAGCTAGAATGTTCCTTATTCAAGACCTTTGAAGAAAATCTTAAATGTCAGAGTGGTTTTGATATGCAAAAGACCTTTTATAAAAATAAATATTTTAATGATTATAATTAATTTAGGTAGGTTTAATAAGTGAAGAGCCCTTCCATCATAGAAAGATCAAAATATCATATATTTTATTAAAAATATATAACTTCTTTATATTTTCACTGTTTAATTGACACAGACCTAAGAGAAAGGCAGCCATTTCTAATTGCATATCTATTTAGATGGAATACTGTAGGAAAACATTTTCACTGTTTCCAAATTATACACAAGGGAGGCACGTTACTAAAATCTTAGCTAGAAAATATGCTTAGATATTTGACTCTTCGACTCACCTGAATTTGTTGGTGAAGTAAGATAATCTCATTAGAAAATTATTTAATTTCAATTTTGGTTACAAATATTTCCAAAACCCATGATCTTATTTACATAATTATTTAACCTGCACATTTGTTATTCATTTCCAATCATGTTAGTAACAAATGAACTGCATATCTTTGGCAAAAAGTGGTTTCTTTATAAGTGTTAAGTAATTAAGAATAAAGATTAATTGATAGTGCAAAAATCCTCCCACAACAGTCAATCACTGTCCAGTACATTCATTTTATATAAGTAGATTTTCATATATTGAATTTTCACAAGTCATTTAATAGGTATGCAATCAATCTGATTAAATGATTAAGAAAGACCCAAGAATTAAATCACTAGGTAGTCACTCAAAAGAGGTCCCCAGCTTGTGGTTTTATGAAGATTCTATACTCTTGACATGTTTATAATTCATGGGGAAAAGTGAGCACATTGCCCAAAACAGGATCTGCCTCAATCATTCAATCTTTTCCAGGCACTGTTTTCTCTCATTTTCCATCCTAGGGCATGCACCTTGAGAATTTTAGGTATTATTCTTAAAAAACTTCTTCTTGTGACTCATGTGAATTTAGAGTAGCACTGGGTAGCAATCATGTCTTCAGATTTAGAATTATAGATAATTCAAATGCAGCTGTGTTTTCTATATCTAAATGCAACGTTTCCAAAGTCATCAATATAACCTGTCCCATCTCCATCTCCCTTCCAGCTGTATTCATTTCTTCTTTATTAATTCTATCACTTTCAATGTGGAATACTAGCCTTAAAAGGGTTATTATGAATACTTTATTGCTTCCCTCAACAAAAAGCTTAAAAGGTAGCAGCCCCATATTCTCCTGTATTTCGACATGTAACATCTAATTGCTAATTTGTGCCATTCTGTAGCAAGCTGTAAATCTTGCTTTATGGTTGTTTAGGTCCTCTGAAGCTTTGCTTTTCCCCCTCCCTTCTGTTTTATGTAGCTTTATAGAAACATTGTAGGGCTTTATTTATTTATTTATTTATTTTGGAAACTTGCTCTCATCTCAGTGGAAATTAGATTTTTTTTTTCTGAACTAACCTCTCACTCCTAGGCCTCTTAAGGGTCTGTTTCAGATATCTTTACTAACAACGAAAAAGACTCTCCCAAGAGTATAGGAACAAAGAGAATTTCCAAACTACTTAGTATGGTTTAAAAAATAATAAATCTGCAGATGAAAGACCACTATTGTAATCAGTGACAGTAAATGTTTTTCTATAACTGAATCATGGTAGAATTTAGATGGTTTTTTTTTTTAGGTAAAGCAAAGTTTGGGAAAGAGCATTTCTCACTGAATACCAAAAATAATGATTCTGCATGTGCTTTGTGCTCAGAACTCTGCTAGATAGTAACACAGGACACAAAAGAAGCATAAGGAAAAAAAGAAGCCAGTCTTCCAGGAGTGTATCATGAAGGAATTAGAAGAAAGTGTGGAAAGGTATGACCTTAGTACAGTGGACATGGCAGAGAAAAGATAGTTCTCTATGAGCAAGGGGCATCTAAGAAACTTCATGGAACAGCCAGACAGTGGATATTATTCCCAATGGCCTAGTTTAGGAACCAAGGGCAATTTTTTTTTTTTTTTTTTGCTTCAGCATAATCATTGCATACCATTTAGTCAAAGGTAATGTGTTTGATGTCCAGGATGTATTGTAAAAGCCAAATCACAGAAAGATGACTTATAGGACATATTTTGGGGTAATGGGAACAGCTGGACTAAAGCAGGATATGGGACGACTATAGTTATTGAGGATCTTGATCTCCACACAAAAGTGAAGGGGCTTAGTGCCGTCATCCCCATGAGACACAAAACACCCTGAGGATGCAATCAAATAGAGTCTTCAGTCAATTTTAATCATAGAATATGTATAAATATTGTTTGCTTGGTACTTTAGTTAAAAGAGCTCAGCCACGCTAACTTGACCTACAATAGGTAGATTTTGCCATTTGCTCAAGTATGCCCTTTGTTTCCTTAATGAGTCATGTTTATAATGTTTGAAGTTGACTTTGCCTATGGAGTTATGAGCCTCAGTGTTAAGACAACATGGAAAATAATAAAAATGTTTTACTAAGATGGCACATTGTAGTGTTACTGTCTTTGGTGATTGCACACTAAATATCAAGCATAGCATGGGAGAAACACTGTGCATAGAAGAAAGAATAGAGACTTTTGAATCAAGCAGTCTTCTCTCTGACTGTGAGTTACTTAACTTCATTGAGCCTCTGTTTAATTGATAAGTCTGAACCTGTAAGTGTTTTTTTGAGGATTAAATGACACAATACGTTTAAAGGGTATAACACATTACAGGCATTACATAAATGGTAATTTTTATAGTTAGGGTATCATTTCAGTCTAACAATGACCCTATGAGATATGTAATACTGTCCCCATTTTACAGATGAGAAAACTGAAGCACAAAGTAGTCAAGTAACAAATTCATATTGTCAGCATGCAGGACACCTGGAGTTCAAACCAGGGTCTGCCTAATGTTAGAGTACATGTTCATTTTATTGTAAATACCAAATGTCCCATTTCATATTTATCCACTGAACTTACCCATAAATTTTGAATATCTGACATATAGTAGGCACTCAATAAGTATCTCATAAAGAAAAAAATGGAAGAAGGAATGGAGGAGAGGAAGGGAAGAAAGAAGTAAGAGAATCAATAAAAGATGCTTTTTAAATTGTTTTCCCTTGAAAGGGTCTATGGAAGATGCTCTTTTCGGCATAGGAAGAGAAATCCTCACAACTACTTCTTTCCCCATCATTTTAGTAACTTCAGTGAAATTATCTCACCTATGAGAGCTGATCAGTATGGGAAGGTGACTTGTCACTCCCCACTTTTGAGGGCTTGAAAGCCTTTCCCCACTTTTCCATAAATCCATTTCTGCCATGAAAGGTTCCTCGCAATCTGTTTTGTTTCCTCATTCTCTCCTAACAGCTAAAATTTTAACCAAAGAAAACTATAACTTTCTATTTAAGACAATGTGATTTTTCCCATCTCTTTTTCTTTCAACACAAAGTCCCTTATGCCTACAGTGCCTTTCCCACCTCTCCTTCCTCACCCCTATTCTGGTAAAAGCCCTAATACCTTATGGCTCAATCCAAAGTTTGCCACTTACGGAGTTTTCACTGAGTCCAGGACAGAGTCAGTTCATTCTTCTCAATGATTCTCTTCCATCATGCTTCACAACTTAAAGTATAGTCAGATGCTTCTGTGTGTGTATTTCAGTTCTGCTGCGCCTATGCAGTTCTACCATCCCATGCAGTGTATGGCCCAGAGCAGCTATTTAATACAAATTGAGTCAAAGAATAGGAGTGGGGACATAGTGAAAACTGCATTCACCAAGGAAACATTTTGTTATTGTCTCCAGTATTCACTGAGTTCTGTTTGAAAATAAAATCATTAAAGAAACTACATATGCTATGTTTTCTTGATTTCGAAAATGCCACCTATTTTAAGACACATATTAATTATGAGGTTCATCATCAAATTTAAGAACAGCTGGGGGAGCGGGATTGACAAACATATTTTAATATGCATATTGACTGCAAGCTATATCCCAGTTTCAGAAACAATAAGATATTGGGAAGAACTTGCCCCTTAGAATTGAGGAAACTGTCATTGCTTTTCTCCAAAAACAAAACATTTATTGGCCCTTCCTTTGCCCCAACTGGGCTCCTCTTCCTGTCTCTCTTATCCCAGACCAAGCATTTCATTACCTCGCTTTATGCAGACCCAACACATTAGGACCTCATCTTAAGATCTCCAGTCATGACAAAAAATGATAGAATTTTTATTATTCAACTGTCAAACCGACCAACACACTAAGCTATTCTTTCTTTCCAGAATCCTCCCATTTTTCTTCATCTGAATAAGTTATAATACTCCTCAAAGTGTGGTTCAGACATTGTTTTTTTCCAGGAAATCTTCCTAGAGTCCTTTGACTTGAGTAGGTCCTTTCTTTTCTCTTTCCAAGGTACCCAGTTCATATATCTGTCATAATATGTACCAAATGCTATTGTTTTCTCAGTTTACTTGCAGCTTCACTGATCTCCGAATCTCTGGAGGTCAAAAACCCTGTCTTCAATCTCTGCATCCTCAGCCTCTACCTCAGTACCTCTACAGATGTTTCTCAAGTAAAGGTGCATGACTAAATACTAAATGAATCCTGTCTCCAGAGTCAGATGATGAAGGTGACACAATAGCATAATAAGATGGGATCCCTGCCCTCAAGGGGGTTACTATCCAGCAGACATGGGTAATGGATGTGCACGCAAATAACTATGATGCAAAGAGCAATATTAGTTCTGTGTGTGAGAGAAAGACAGGGAGGAACAAAGTGTCATGAGATGTCATAGTGATGATAATTGTCTGTAGCATAGATGAAAATTAAAATTAAAAGTAAAAATTAAAATAAGGCATCTAAAATAGGATATATCTGTGTAAAATTAAATGAATCAATTATTGACTTAGTAATTGTGATGCATCTCCTTTTGCTGCCTTCTGTGCTGTAAAATTGAATTCACTATTTTGTGTAAAAATACTTTAATATGTTTGTTTTTATTTTACGTGGTTTTTGTCCATCATTGAAATAGTCAAGTATAGCTAAATTGTCAAATTATTGATTTTATATACACTCCTCTTTAGTATAAAAAGGATGTAAGTGATAGTTATAAAATATACTGGAAATTGCCTAAATTTTATTTGATGATGATGCCTTTGGGCTTCATAATTATGATAGTACTAAAATGAGAATTTCTTCAACTGCAAATATCCAAATTAAAATCATATAAAACAAAGAGTAGCCTAAGAAAACCATGAGAATCATTTTTAAAACTTTAAGCTTTAAATAAAACCTAACCCAATTTAATAATATACTAAACATATATTGTTGAATAACTCAAAACCATATTTCTTTTACTTGTATTATTTGTTATTACTTTTACATCTAGGATATTGTTTGAACCATGAAAAATATATGAAAATAAAGATAATCTCCCCTCATATGCCCAATATCAGTTAAGCTTTTCAGGAAACTAATTCAGTGGCCCACATATAACCTTAGATAGACAACTCAGAGAGGGTGGAAGTTAAGTTACTGCTTTTAAAAATTCATTTTAACCAAGATTAATTTTCCATTCCACAAAACTTAGCTTTAAACTGTGACCAAAATGCTAACCATATTTCCCATGTAAGACTAGAATCTTATTCAGATACTGGGGAATCTGAAGAAGGAGGGAAGGAGGAAAGATATCTTTACTGTCTTGCTTATGTTGGCCATTTTAAGAACTACATGCAAAAGTGATGTTTCTACCTGAGGATAAATTTACTCAAACTTCAAGAATTCATTGAGACCAAGTGCCGTGGCTCATGCCTGTAATCCCAGCACTTTTGGGAGCTGAGGCGGGGGGATCACTTGAGGCCAGAAGTTTGAAACCAGCCTGGCCAACATAGTAAAACCATCTCTACTAAAAGTAAAAAATAAAAGAAATTAACCGAGCTTGGTGGTTCATGCCTTTACTTTCAGCTACGTGGGAGGCTAAGACAAGAGGATTGCTTGAGGCTGGGATATCCAGGCTGCAGTGAGCTATAATTGTGCCACTGCACCCCTGCCTGTGTGACAGAGCAAGACCCTGTCTCAATACAAACAAACAAACTACATATATGTATATATCTGTGTATATATTACTATATATATATAATGTAAAATTTTTTTAAGTTTTTTGGGGACAAAATTTCACATCCAAGGAGATAGTATTGTACTGAATGGAAGACTGTTATAGTCTAACTTTCTCTTTAATACAGTTAATAGAATTGAGAGAAAGTCAGACCGTAACAGTCTTCCATTCAATTTAATACTATTTCCTTGGATGTGCAATTTAGATTTAAAAAAAAAAAACTTAGAAAATATCTCCTCCTGAATTGGCATAGACTAAATGGCTTAATTTAATCTTTTTCATTTCTACCTTCTGAATAAAAATGTCACCAATAAATACTAGTAACCTCAGCAAAGGTATAAATATTACCAATTTATTTGTATGATGTGGATACACATAGTTGGTTATTAACAGGTATTAAATAGAGTCTGTGACTGCACATTTTTGTTCAGGTTTATGGGCTCCATTTGGATACTATTACAAAAAGTTGGTGAAAGTAAGTTAAATATAAATTTACAAAGAAGTTGCCTTACAAAGCTTTTATAGTGTCACTCCAGTCTCTTGAAAGCAAAGTAAGTAGGTCTTAAATTTCAGGAAGATGAAAATATGGTTTTGTAACTGATCAATGACAAAAATAAAACAAAAAATCAAACAAAAGAGTGACAAAAGCATTTAGAGCAAATGGTGTATATAATTGCCTTCTCGCAATTTCTAAGATCATCTCATTGATTAAATGATCTTCTCTGATGGACTGCCGTTTTCTGGCTGAGTAATGGACACCTTATCTGTGCTGATGAACATGATCACCAGGTCCCCTCTGGTGTCCTGGAGCACAACCAGTAACAATATTGTCAATGTGCTAATGACTGCTCTGGGGTGCTTTCCTCATCTTCCTCACACCAAAGATACCTCATTCTCATCTTCTACTACAACCAGAAAATCATTTTAAACCTGGATTCTCACTTTGAAGTTTGCTTTGGCAGCTTTGAAGTATTTGCAGCTTTCTGGCCAGTATTATCTGTGTTTCATAGATCACAGAAAATTCTGAAAGAGGGAAAAGCACTTACTAATTTGAGATGTAGAATCTTTTGTTAATATGTTTCATATAGGGTTGGTTTCATTTCTTTAATATCCTGTAATAAGTTATTGCTTCTAGAAGGTGAATAAGAGACAAAAAAAAAAAAAGTGGCTAATAGGACCTTAGGGAACTACCTATGGCTCACACCTATAATCCCAGCACTTTGGGAGGCTGAGGCAGGCGAATCACAAGGTCAGGAGATTGAGACTATTCTGGCTAACACGGTGAAACCCTGTCTCTACTAAAAAATACAAAAAAAAAAAAAAATTAGCCAGTCGTGGTGGCGGGTGCCTTTGGTCCCAGCTACACGGGAGGCTGAGGCAGGAGAATGGTGTGAACCTGGGAGGTGGAGCTTGCAGTGAGCCAAGATTGCACCACTGCACTCCAGCCTGGGCGACAAAGTGAGCCTCCGTCTAAAAAAAAAAAAAAAGAAAGAAAGAAAAATTATAGTAGTCAGAGGTGGGAACCAAGGAGTGGTCTTATGATGCCTAATATTACCTTCAGGGCTCCAAATAAGAAGCCATCATGCATAGCAAATGGTACCCCTGCTCCTGAATATGTTGCTACATTTTAATTAGTTACTGGGTTACTTAGGGATATAGAGACCCACAGAGTCAAACTCTTTACTTAAAGTGTTAAATGCAATACATTTAATTTTTTTAATTTAAAATTTTAAATAAGCTAAATAGAAAACACCTCGTCTGTGTAAGTCCAAATGAAGTAATAGTATGTAACTAATTGTGAACCTGAATATCCATAGTTGTTAATATTTCATTTAGTCCAGCATTTCAGTTACCTTAATTTGCTGCAACGAAAAAGTGTTTTAATTATGTATACTGTCTTAGGTTAAGTGGCCCCAGAAACAGGCTCTGAGGCAGAGATTTGCGTGTGAGAAGCCTGGAGAGTTGTCCCAGGAACAACACCTGGGAGGAAATGAAGGTAGTCGGACTGGGCAGAGGAAAATGTAGAACTATGATGCAATCTTAACAGAGACCCCTGCTGATCTGATGGCAGAGAGAGCTCTGAAACTGGAATGGCCTGTCAGAGTTGTCCGGAGCCAGGCAAAAGAGCCATGCCATTATCCCTGGAGGAGTGAGCATAGCTTTGAATAAAGCAACTCCCTTTGACTGAATTCAGTTTCCAGAGTAGGAAGAAGCTGCAGCAGCCCATGCCCCCCGCCCCTGGGGGAGTGAATCCCTCGATCCTGAAGATGGGATCTCAGTCTTCAGCACCCACTGTGTACACCAATTCATCTTGTAATATGCAGACATAATTTCTAAGCCATAATAAAATTTTCCTTCCCAAGTAATTTTAATCACTTATGAGACAAGGTCGGGCTCCTTAAGGTTACATTGTCCTTCTCCTCTTTACCCACTTTGTTGCTTGTTTAAATCATTTCTGGAATTAAGAGTGTGTCATTGGAGCATATTCTGAGAATGTGACTTTGAAAGTCTGACCTGCGGACATGTGATAAATTGTGTCTGGAGATTGATTTTGCTGAGTGCTAATACCAAATCATGTAGCAACATAGTTTCACCTACTAAATATTGCCAGACCATATTGTTGAAGTCTGTGCTGCCACGGTCACCTCATCAGGATGTTTTCTGTCCTGTGACTAGTGGCTTCAAATGTACTCATCCATCTTCTTGTCCCATTACATTTGGTGTGACTGATGTTCTGTACCCATTAAAATTGATGGGAGAGAACAAAGAGAAGAAAAATGTGCCCTTCGATTGATTATTTCTCTGAAAGCGTAAATGAAAATTCTCCAGTACCAACAAGAGATTTAGAGTGGGGGGTTTCCCCCATTTATTAAGTGCTTTAATTAGCAGGTTTACGAAACAGAGTTTCCTGTTTATAAGGGTGCGTTTTTCAGCTCACTTTAAAATTTAATCTCCTTCTGAAATGTTTGATCTTTATAAGATGAATTTAATAGCTGTAACATTGTTTATAGTCAGGGATTGTTTTGGTGAATTCTCAGTACCAGAACCAATTAAATCAGATGCCTTCGTGTCAGGTTTTTTTTCTTCTGATGAGCTATCATAATGGCTCATTTTATGCTCTGTGATAGCCAATAATTAAATTGACCATTGTTGTAAGCTGAAGCCAAAACCAAAGTGATTTTGGAAGGCTCAATCTTCCTAGGTTTTTCTTGGATCTATTGAATGTTATCTTTGTGTTCAACAAATTGCAGAACAGCAAGATATCTCTGCAATACTCACAACACATTTGTTTAATTACATTATTGAATGTGTTAGGGGAAAAATAAAGCCTGCCCACTGGCTGAGATCAGGCTTCGGTCTCAACACCTCTTTCCTCCTGAGGTTCCTGCGTTTGAGTTAGAGGAAACAGTGTGGACTTGTTTCTTAGGAGACATGGTAGAGTCACATTTTTAAAAGATGTATTTTTTTCTTTTCTTACAAAATTCAAAATGAAATAAATGTGGCCAAATAATAAATAAATAATATGAGACTAGTTACTTTGGTCTGTATTCCCTTGCGGGAGATTGAATACCCAGGGATCTTTGGGGTCATTTGAGTGGTATGGATAGCATGGTCCCTTGAGGGAGACAGGAAAGTAAGAAACATTCTTCCGGTGTGACACTGGTCACAAGGATGGCAGGAGATATTCTAGGACTTTGACCATAGGAATATATCTGTGAACAGCTGTCAAGTTGGCTGTGGCCAAGCTGGTCCACATTTTCAGCAATATTAGTGATCATGTGCTATACAAATACTTGACCAACTGTGGGACAAATGGAACTAAGGAGACTACAGTTAGATCCTTTCCCTTATGTAAAAAATGGCCTGAACCAACACTTTCCAATAGAAATATCTGCGATAATGGAAATATTCTATATTTGTTCCATCAAGTACAATAGCCACTAGCCACATAGGACTGTTGAACAGTTGAAGTATGGCTGGTATAACTCAGGAATTGAACTTCTACATTTGGTCATTTTAGCCAATTTAAATTTCAGTTGCCACATGTGGCTAGACTATTGTATTGGACAGTGCAGGGTCTAGAAATTATTAAGGAATCATATGCAGTTATATAGAAATGATGTCTTAAAACCTTGAAGTCTACAGTTCAATTTATATTCTATCCTAACATTTAAAAATTCTCTCTATGGATTTTTTAGGGGGATGAATTTTGTTTAAATGTGTAGTGCTTTTTTAAGAACTGAAATGAAATATAAATTATAAAAGCAAGTATAAAATATGAATCCCATGGAATAGCCTACAAAGAGGAGGCTTAGAAACTAGAATACTAAAATAACTCCCTTAGATAGCAGCATTTAGTAAATAATCTTGACACTAAAATCTCATGAAAAAGATAGTCTTATCATTTTACATTTGCAAATCTTGACAGCCTGAAATCTAGGTCATTGTATTAGCAGTGGGAATAAAGAATGAATTAATTTAATTCAAATACAAAGAGTTGCACTTCCAGAACTCAAAAAAATTGTCATCAAGTGGGGCGTTCTGAGAAAATCAGTTCCCCTTTCAACTATTGCAGCAAAAATAAATAATAAAATAACAATATTAATAACAGTTTAATTGCAGTAGCATCTTGTACTGAACCTTCTTTCAAACTCCTCCCCGATCTTAGGATTCTGTACCATAAATCTTGTACATTAATCTGAGAAGTCCTTATGAAATGCTGTTTCTTCAAACCCCTTACTGCATTTTGGCTCCAATAATACTTCCTGTTATGTCAGTATTTCATAAATATTCAGTGCTGACCATAAGATGTGTGTACTTCAGTCTCACCATTCAAGATTAAACCCATCTTGGTTGAATAGAAATTTGTTCTTTCCCAGTAGGGATATTACAGGCCATTCTCTCACTGTAAATCCTAATTAGGGAACCATTGTCTACATTGTCTACTCATGTGTGTCCCTCACCCTGTCCCCTCAACCACCACATATCCAAGTTGCCAAATTCTAATGTTCTTCATCTTCAACATTTCTTTCATCTGTATTTCTTTCAGCATTATCTCTCCTTTCCTTTACCACCAACCTTCTGGATTTATTAAGCCCACATTTTCTCTCAACCTCTGATCTCTCTCTTTGCTTCCAGTCTCTAAGCTTCAAGCCATCGTCCACCCTGCTGCCAGTACATTGTTCTTCTAGCTTCTTTGACAGATTCTCCAGTGGTTGCAGGACAAAGTCCAGTTATCCCAGTTATACCTTGCTCAGAGAACACTGCATCCTGATAGCCTTCCACAGACACCTCAGTTGGAACCAATTTCCCTCCTGCTTAAGTTACTTGAATGTACTTCTCCCCAGGATAACTCAAAAATTTATAAAAGAATGAATGGTTGTTTATTCTTTTAGAGATTATAAACATTTTTCACTGCCCTACCTCATCTTTAAGTTTTCCAGAAATCCAGTGACCTAAATAAGGCAGGCAAGATGTTTTCCCATTTTGTAAAGGAGAAAACCAGCTGAATTAGGCAAGGGAATAATCCAAGAAGACATAACCAGGTCCTTTCTATATTAATAAAATTAGTGTTTCAATAAAAATGATATCCCCAGTGCCTGGAATAGTGGTTGGCCTAAAACAAGTGTTAGGGAATAAGTGTTGACTTAATGAATGAGTAAATGAATGAATGAAGACATACTGCAGAGGGCCTTATAAATATCATAACTGGTGTTTGAACTGGCTTAACCACATAATGAATGGTCACTGGATCACCTGAGCAGGCCAAATGGTGTGGTCACACGCAGGTGCAGATAAATCTAAAGGAAAGAACGAGAAAGTTAATACAGAAATGAGGAGATTCTGCAATTGAGTATGACAATGGAACCCAAAGTTAAAATAGGAGACTGAGAGAAATTTTAAAGAAAGGGCTTAGAGTTATTACTTCTTGACACTAACTGAATGGAAGGGCCAATGGAGAAGGCAGAACCAAACATCATGCCTAAGTTTGCAGCCATAGTGTGTGGGCAAAGGGTGATGGCCATACCAGGAAGACAGGATTGTTTCCCTTAAATACAGATGAGCCTTTATCTGTGCTAAATCCTTTAGCATCTAATTATACTATAGATTTTCTTATACTCCTTACTAGATCTCTGACTAATTATTCACACATGAAAATACTGTATTTCTCAATCTTTTAATTCTTTATTGTTCCCAGGGCACCAAGTCCACTTCTCAGCAAATGGTAGACCTTAATATGATATAAACACTATGCTATTGGAGTATATCATATCCTCCATGAAAGTTTAACTTAGGTGCAATTTGTATAAACAAAAATATTATTTTTCAGAAAAACGGCTGTTCTCAAAAGTATTAGCTGCATTTTTCTGAAATGCATTTTGCTATCAGGTGCTTTGTAAAGTGGGATGGGAATGTAATGAATAATCCGAACTAAATTTTTCACAGAGGAAAAGTTGCTGGAATTTTAAAGACGATTTTCTTTTAGATTTTCTAGCAAATACTAAAATAAGAATTTAAATTTTTTTGAAGCTTCATAACAAACTTCACAGCCATGAAGCAATGAGTTATCTTTCTCTTCCTTTTTTTAGCTATAGCAGAATAAAATGAGGGATTATTGTGTCCATTTGAGTCATGTGGTTATACCTACATTTTCTAGGGGACCAAGATCTTTTCCATCAATGCTTATTTTCCTTGTACCAATGTCAGAAACATGGTATTTGTTTTAAAATAAAGTAATTTAATTTGCAAGTTTAAAATGTAGCTATTATAAGTAATTGAAAGCATTAGTAACTTTTTGGTGATAGGAGTAGTAAATTAACCCAGGGGTTGATAATGACCATCCAATTAAATCCAACAAATATTTACTGAGTGTGAATGATTCTAGGTGCAAGGCATTGCAGTAGCAAAGTGAGGCTCCAGAGGTGTGTAAGACAGGATCTTGACCCTGTAGGGGCTTTATGTCTTTCAGGCAAATCATTATATAGTGAGACAAAATACAATTGATGAGAAGAGCAGGGAAAAGGGAGGGGGAATTGGACTAAGGGGACCACCAGAAAACTTCATGAAGAACATGCAATTCAAACTATTCCTTGACAGATGAGGGTGTAGCATTCTGGCTGTAAAGATGTTAAAAGCAGAGAGTCTGAACCTGGGAAATCTAGAAGGTGTTAGTCTGAGGAGAGTGACTTTTTTTGTGTGTGTGTATGTGAGATGGAGTTTCGCTCTTGTTGCCCAAGCTGGAGTGCAATGGCACAATCTCGACTCACTGCAATCTCCACTTCCCAGGTTCAAGTGATTCTCCTGTCTCAGCCTCCTGAGTAGCTGGGATTACAGACATGCACCACCATGCCCAGCTAATTTTGTATTTTTGGTAGAGACAGGGTTTCACCACATCGGCCAGGCTGGTCTTGAACTACTGACCTCAGGTGATCCGCCTGCCTTGGCCTGCCAAAGTGCTGGAATTACAGGCATGAGCCACCACACCCAGCCGAGAGTGACTTTTATAGGTAGTTAGAAATCTTCAAATTCTTTCAGAAAAGAAGTGGCAAGATCAGATCTATGCTCAGCTATAATAAGGGAGGGTTACTATTAACTAAGTAGGGCAGGAAATTTTCACACTGGTTTTTAGTATAGCCATTTTTTTGCCAGATGAAGTAAGGAGCTTTGCACGGCTAAATTCTGGGAGTTGAGGAGGATGGACTGAGTACTGTGTACCCCACAGTGGCCCTGGAGGCTCCTGTTGGTGGGACTGAGAAGGGTGGTATGTAAGAGAGACTAGAGGTCAATAGAAAATCCCAATCTCTGGGCAAGAGTAGTGAGAATAGGGGCAGAGAGCTGGCTTGGAAGACATGGCAGTGAAGGGAAGCCAGGCCAGAGCAGCACAGTTTGGTGACTGATTTCCATGAGGGGGTTAGGGAGAGAAAGAAGTCACAGAAGTTTCCGATGTTTCAGATTGCAGCAACTGGGAAGAGGATGGACATTGGCACTGAGATAGGAAACAGAGAAGGGCAGATCTTTGGGAGTAGATGAGGAATTAGGTTTGAGATCAGAGTTCAAAGGAGGAATTAGGTTTGAGATCAGAGTTCAAAGGATTTGTAGACTAGTAGAAGAATGGGTGCCAAAATTCAGACAAATACCGGCAGCTTTATCCTATGGTTTAGATGGGCTAAATATCTGTCCAAAATAATGTCAGCACATTCCAGGTTGATAGGAAGGTGATTTGTCTGTATTTATTACTTTTTTTCTTTAGTATATCCCGTAGATTTGTTAATCTGACCTTTTATACCAACATTTCAAAACAATTTAAGGAAGTGCTAGAAGAGAGTTTTCAGACCTGGTATATGATCCAAGGTGATGTAACAAATTTTAAAATGTGTTTTCATGTGGAAGTTAAAAATGTGCAGCTTAAAGAGTAGTTGAAACTCCATATGCCTCTTTTGGCCAACCCAGTAATGCAGCTTGTGGAAATATAAATGAACATTCAGAAATTGGAAGCATGCCTTTGCCTAAAATCTGGGCCGTATTTAAGCCTTCTTACCCACTGCAACCTTTCAATTAGCCATTACCAGACTTAGCCATAGCAGCATTTGCTGTTGCTTGATTTTTCATCCTGTCTATAGCTGAATTAGATCCACAGCTAAATAAATGCAATGCTTTTAATAGCCTTTATAAACAGACTTATATACCCCAAGATTCTGTTATTTCAGGAAGCTGTTATGAACAACAGGCTCTAAATTGTGAATGCTTATTAGACACTATAAATCATTTTGCCTTGCAATAAACATCAATTAAATGTAGTTCACATGTCACAATGCATGGAACAGATTGATTTTTGAAGACAGCATAGCCCTGCATCATGTACATTCAGGGGTATTGGGAAAAAATACCCATTAAATTAACATTAGTTTAAAAAAAATGAAAACTTCTAGAACAATTACAGCTTTACTGTTTTGACTGAAGGAGAAAAAATGACCTTTGTTTCAGGAGCTGTGACTTGAACAATGCTATTCTGCATGAAATTGAGAAATTGCCAGTGTTCCCAACCTGATGGAGAGTATGTGTGGGATCTTAGTTCTGCTTCATTAAGCTCCTTGTGAATGAGTGGTAAATTTTCCCTATTTATATATTTTCTGTCAGGGGATCATAAACATAGCCTGCCTACCACATGTTTTTACTGTTACCTTTTTATGTATATATTGGTTGCACGTTTAACAAGAGTTTATTCCTATATTGAATATCCTAGTCAGGTAGGTTTTAGGAATAGGCAAAGTTATGCACTTGCTACTTTCTTACAATATTGCATATTAAATATAGAGTGATTAAAACTTCTAATTTTTCAGTGAATGAAAATAAGCTTATATTTAATTAGTTCAAACTTTCTAGTGCATAATTTTTAACATGCTGGAAATGAGGCTTAATAGAGAAGCATTTCCTGAACGAAACTTCCTTTTTGTGTTCAACTTATAAACTGAGTCTGGAAAGAAATATTGTTTCCAGATGAATTCACTTGGATTTTATTATGAGAAAATCTTAGGAGCAAATTCCTGTACCAATCTTCTAAGAGCCTTCTTGAAGGCAGGAGTATGGAGAAATAACTGGCTTAGTCTCCTTCCAATTGTGTCAATATATTTTTGAAATATTCAAATGTGTCTTAGAAGTTGTGACGTATTTTGCAAACAATATGTTACTAATAAATGTATAAAAGTACTCAATGTTCACAAACCATATATACGTAGATGTAAATATAGGAGGAGGAGGAGAGAGTAGTCCTCTAATCCCCAGTGTTACTCAGTTCCGCTATACTTTCTTGAGTGGAAAAGGGTAGAGTTATGTCTTGCTGTAAAATGCACATATAACTCTAGATGAATAAGTTCATGGGAAATGTGTCTGTCATGAGTAGAACACTTTCATGTTGCTCGTCTAAGGGACAGCAAAGTGGATAGCAAAAGTTCTTTGGAGTTTCAAATTGTTCCATCTGATCCCTACATATACAAGGGGTCTTTTCTACTGCTGTGGCTGTCCTCAGACACAGCTTTAGCTTTTCCTCTGCACTGAGTGATGTTCCCTAGAGTTTCCCTGTGTAAAAAGTGCAGCAGTTTCCCTGGGCCTTGGGCTTTAGAGAGACTTGAGTCATTTGACAAGTACTGCAGGGACTCCACGTGATTCTACCAACCAAACAAATGACAAGCACAAAAGCAACAGCATAAAACAACCATTGTGCTGCATGAGTATTACTTTCCTTTTTTTTTTCAACTTTCATTTTAAATTTCAGATGTACAAGTGCAGGTTTGTTACATAGGTAAACGTGCATCATGGGGGTTTGTCGTACAGATTATTTCACCACCCAGGTATTAAGCCTAGTACCCATTAGTTAATTTTCCTGATCCTCTCCATCCTCAAATTCTCCACTCTGGGACCAAAAAGCCCCAGGGCATGTTGTTTTCCTCTATGTGTCCATGTGTTCTCATCATTACATGTGGTATTTGGTTTTCTATTCCTGTGTTAGTTTGCTAAGGATAACAGCCTACAGTGTTGCTTTCCTAGAGAGAGTAACAGACAAGGCTCCCAACAACCACACCTCCATGCGTTATTCCCTAGGGATAGCTTACTCCTCCAGTGTGTCTTTGATATTCATATATATTAACCAGATTTACCCAAATACAAATATTAAAATTTTGGGATCAAGATTGATATGATTCTTCCCTTATTTCTTTATGTTTAGAAATCCCATATCACCTTTAGACCCAATTGAAATGGTATCTACTTTATGATGTCCTCTCAGAGCCCTAAATAGAATAAATGGATTCACCTCCAAAAATCCATAATATTGTTTGAAACTCTCTTATTGAACTTTCAGCAGATGCTTTATATTTTAATTGAGTGCATGCCTGTCTTTCTCCTCTAGAACAAAACCCACTTCTCATATTTGCTTCACTCTCTCACCCAACCCCCCATGCCCCTAGAATAATGCTTGCACATAGTAGGTGTTCAGGAAAATGTGACTCATGTTCACATTTATAATTAACCTCACATTGTGCTCCCAAGGGTTAGACTTTGATAATAGCTCTGATTACATTCGCTCTGATATGACTATGCGATATCTATCTCTTCTGCCAACCAGTAGTTCAGCTTGCTTTCTAAACTTGATTTTCAGATCTTTTCAAGATTAAACACAAGAAAATTAACTTACATTTTAAAGGGTCCTTGAGGAAAATATCCACTTCATATATGATTTTTGTATTTTGCAGAATTGCTTAATATAGTGCTTTTACAAAATAGATATGCAGTGTTTGTGGAACGAAATTGTTAAGACAGGAATACCTATAAAACTCAGATGGAGTCATTCAAGTGCTGAGCATGCATTTCTTATGTATATTTCTCATAGAAAGTTAATGTGCCAGGAAGCCTTCATTAAGTTTTCATTATGCTTTAACTCTAAAAAGGTATTGACATGGTTTAAAAGTCATTGATCATTAGTCACAAGATGCTGCTAATCTCTCTACCTGAGTAAAACAAATGAAGCTATCCAGGTAAAAAATTGCTCACCAGTTAGTCATTCCTTCAGAAGAGTTCCTAGACTATGTTTAAGGATATACAGACATATCTTTAGGAAGACCTAGGAAGTGTCTCCTGCCTGGATTCTGAAATCTTTTCTAGCCAACCTCTGAGAAAAAGGCAGAGAACATTGATTAATGTCAGATTTTGGCAAATCAAGTTTAAAAAATGTGAATTTTAGATGAGGGGGAGACTCCTTTGCTATAGAGAGAATATATTATAAAAAATTGATGAACACAATTATGTATCAGTAATTCTGTGATTTTTTTTTCAGAAAATGGTCTTATAAAAAACATAAGAATTATGATAATTCAACAGTGATATTAGCAAGAACAATTGGCCAGATGTAAAAGGATTTGAGATGTGTAAAAGGAATTGTGGTCTGTCCACTGTCAAACTCTTGGTGCATCTTGGCTTCCTCAAGGATCAGAAGGAGGGATGGAATATCTGACCCCTGAGATTGCTTCTGTCCATGATAGGCACAGCCTTGTCACCCTGATGCCAGATATGTATTCTTAAAGAATATCAAACTATAGCATTCTCTTTCTCAGAAATCTTCAGTAGCTTCCAACTATCTACAAAATCACCAAATCAGTTGTGATTAGCAAGTATTTTAAGACTGCAAAGCTGTGATCAAACCCACCTTTCTCTCAAGCCATATTTCCCTGTGCTCTGAAATGTACAAATGCCAAACTGGACAAACGGCTGATTTGTAACTTTCTTTTGAAGTTGGCCCATTCCAAGGTTTCTGCTGGAAACATTTTCTCCACTTCAGGGATGCCTACCCAGCCCCAAAGCTTTTCCTGACTTCCTCAACTATACTTTCTTTAAATCTGTAGTACTCCTAATTTATATGTCTTGGAATTAGTTCTTCATACTCTGGATTAGAATTATTCAGATTTTGAGGATTTCATCCTCAGGTTATGATCTTCTTGGAAAAAGAGAAGGAACCCTAAGACTCTTTTTTCCCTCTACAGTATCTAGTAGAATGTCTTATTCATTGGGGATATAAAATAATATAATCTTTAAATAAACAAATGAGAACTCACACCATCCTCATAGGGCACAGTGCACAGTGTTTTACAGATGTAAAGCACCATAAAATAGAATACTATAGGGTGATCACCACATCTATATTTAGCATGTAACTCTTGCTGATTCACATAGAAAGGTGCCCTGTGATACATTTAAGTCTAAAACAGAAATTGTAGGTTACTCACACCCACTTTGTTTGTAAGTACATTTTTGTTTTCCATTCCTGTTGAATTTATTATCAGAAAACAACTGGAACTTAGATACGGCCTCTGATAAAATGGAGGACAATACACATTCCCTTCAGTAGTTAAAGGTCTAGTCTCAATGAGATATGGATTAGCCATTTCCATCTAACAGAAGGCTCCAATCTGGCCAAACATATGGGTGATTCTGGGAGCCAGCTTACCCCCACAGGAGGTACAACAGCTCTGGGGCACACAGGATGACCAGAGCTCTCATGGCTTCCATCGTGAGTCTATTGCGAAGGTTGGATTTGCATTTCCAAGCACGCCAGGAGAATAGAATTCAGTTACCTCCAGAAGTGGCTGCTTTGTCCTCCACACTCTATAACACCAGCCATGTTCAACCAGAATAGTCAAGCAATCATATGCCAGCCTAGTCCTGAACGAACACAGGGGCAAAACACATTCCACAGATGATAAAACTGGCTCTCTTCAGAAATCCAGCTGAATGCCAAGAGAATTAGCCCAGTTCTAGCTTCCTACTGTACTAGCTTTCAGGAAAAAAAAAAAATAGAATACAGCTCTTATATATTGATCAATTCTATAAAATGGAAGAGTTCAAGTTCAAGTGAACAGAATAGCCATCTGTCCTGCTAATCATTTCCATTCTGATGCCATTCACTGGAGTCAGTCATTCATTCAATAGTGTCTAGGGAAGAGCCAGTCTAGACATGAGATCTGAATATTTAGAAAATTACAAGCACAATTAATATGCATTCTGAAATTGTAGTTGATGTATTTTTTTCTTATTCTTTTTGGCATAAAATTTTAGTTTTCTAAATTGGAGACATGTTTTGCAACAGGGTTTACATATGAGAATTTGTAAATAAAAACAGCCAAATACTAACTTAAACCTTTTTCTCTTTAATTCATTCATCTGGGTAATTTAGTCATCACTCTTAGAAAAAGCAAAGACATTTTGTGACAATGAAGACATTATGTGACAACTAGAGCCTGTTTAGAACCATTGGGTTAAATTTCATTGTTAAATGAGTGAATAAATGTTATAGTGCCTGTTGTACTTTTTTTTTTTTTTTTTTTTTGAGACAGAGTCTTGCTCTTGTTGCTCAGGCTGGAATGTAGTGGCGTGATCTCAGCTCACTGCAACCCCCTCCTCCCAGGTTCAAGTGATTCTCCTGCCTCAGCCTTCCTAGTAGCTGGGATTACGAGTGCCTGTCACCACGCCTGGCTAATTTTTGCATTTTTAGTAGAGATGGGGTTTTGCCATATTGGCCAGGCTGGTCTCAAACTCCTGACCTCCAGTGATCTGCCCACCTTGGCCTCCCAAAGTATTGGGATTACAGGCATGAGCCACTGCACCTGTCCGCCTTTTGTACTTTTTATCCCCTAAGACAGTGAATATGAATAGCCAACTGTCATGCCCCTAACTCTACTCCTTTCTCTAAGGGCGTAAGAATCATCTACCAATGCCCTTCTACTTACATGGTTTGCCCTTTGTGTTGCAGGGAGAGGAGGAACTTTATATTGGACAAATATGGAAGAGAAAAATACGTTTACATTTTGATATCTAAACACATTAGTGAACAACCACAGAGATTTCACTTGTAGTTGCTTCACACATCTAACAACTGAGGTTATTTTTTTTAAACTCTTTTTTTCTAAATCAAGAAGCTTAAGAAAATATGCATGTTTCTGAAAAATTGGTTGGACAAAGAAAAGCTAACAAAATACTATGTTAAAACTTTATAAATGGAAAGATTATGTATTGAAACAATAGTAAATGCCCTTCTTTGCTTATAGATAGGTTAATATAATAACATCATTTATAGTCTCTTTGGTGTTCCAGCAGTTGTTAGTCTTTAACATAGCTTTTGTTCTTCCCCTTTCCTTCTCCCCACTGCCATAGTCTTGTGTTATATCTGGACAGTTGGGAACTAACCAGTCTCTCTCCCTTCCTCCAGTTCACTGTGGCAGTGGAGATGAAGAGGAGCAGGATGTGACGAATTTTTACTTAAGACTGTTTTAGTTTCCTGCCAACTGTTTATTTATAGAGTTTCACCCAGTGATACTTATATAACTTAAGTTATAATGCCACAGTACTTTCACAAAATATACACATTACTGTTTCAGTGTTTTTTTTTAATAGCCTTGGTTTCAATGCCATTATCAGTTCATTATCAGTGTATTGTTTGCTTCCTTGTCCAGTACCACTGTCTGATAAAATCCTTAATTATTAAGTATCTGATAATACTATCCAAACTGCTTTAATTACAGAACATTTTGTGTCTTGTTTTTATTACATTTCATGCCAGAATGAACCTAGCCAGGATCTTTAATAAGCCATATTAAATCCAGGCTAGAGGTTAAAACTCATGAGGCTGCCTTGATTCTCTGCCTATTGTGTAGGGAATCTCATCAGAAAAGCCCCAAACTTCATTAAAGATGGCTGGATGTGGGCCCGCCTATATTGCCATTTACTTTAAGGGCTATCACTCAGGGGCAATTATTGGTGTGCTCCTCATGATCCCTGTTATATTAAGGCAATTTCTACACCTAGGTTAGGCATTAATACCGCCATTATCTCCAACACAAATCCCCTGACAGTTAGAAAAGCAGGAGAAATTACAGGAGGATTAATCTCTAGTGCCCATCCAAAAATAAAACCTTTCCCCAGAGGAGGGAGGAGGGTATGTTGAACTCAGTTAAGCTGTGTTAGTTGTAATGAAAAAGAGCCCCCTGTGCCTGCCTCTGTCGGAGACGTTAGATGACCCTTTCTCAACTTGTCAATATCCCTTTGGGCTTTCCTTCTCTCCACTCTTACTAGGCTTCTCAGAGTTTTATGACATCTTTAAATAATTATGTTTGCATTAAAAACGTGGAGGGGGGGACACCTAAGCTTTCCATGTAGAAGGGTTGGACAAAGTAATTCATTTTGCACAAAAAGAAGAAAAAGAGAGCCTGGTGTTTTCACAAATCCTTTATATTTCCAGTGTTTTTTTTTTTTTTTTTGGTTTTGTTTTGTTTTCTTTTGCTTTGTTTCCAGATGTGTTTATGGGTCTTGCACCATGAACCATGCTGAGAAAAGCAGATCATAGAATAAGGAAAAAGAATCCCACTATGCACAAAAGAGTAGGAAGACAAGAGCCTGCAGTGACTTGGCAGGTCATTCCCAGTGCACGCTGCTTCGCCTGATAAGGATACCTTTGACAGTGGCTGCTGCTGCTGCTGACGCACCTCTGTGCTTGCTGCAGAATGGCTGGGGTTTGGGAATGGAATGATAAGGAACACAATGAATAACTAACAAAGCTCCTTTGATGAATGCAGTCATTTGCATTACAGCGCAAAATAGCTTCGCTCCTGATGGGATCATGGCATACCTAACCACAAATATTGTTCATATCTTTCAATGACATATAAGGGCAGCAGTAGACACAGTGAGAGTTTGGTAGGTGGAGAGTTTCAACTCAGTACATGGTAATAGCATAGAAAAAAATTGGCCCAGAAAAAAATTTGTTTAATAGTATTGGTCTGAAAAACTAATGAGAATTTTAGTTTTGACTGAAAATATGTGTAATAATAGTACATTCTTTCACAATCCATCGTCATTGAAATTAATACCCCAGGTGTCTTTTATAGGTGTTAAGAAATGATTCACAATTGAACTGTTTGTCTCAGTGCTACAGAAATGCTATTTCACCTCACTTTATTCCTATCCTACTCAATAGAAAAAACACGAAAGGAGGTTTTGAGTGTGTCAAGTTGAATGTGAGGGAATTTCTGGGTTCTATATTCATTCAGAGGAAGCAATTGGTTGTATCTGTCACTATGATAGGGCTTCACCATTTGCCCAGAACACAGCAGTGTTTTGCAGGTTTAACACATCCACTCTTACCTTACCACAAACCAGAAATATAAAACTGTGACACAGAGCCAGCCATGGACTCTAGCTTCCCTGCTAATTTTGATCTACTGCCTGGTGATACTGGTGACTCCCAACTCATAATGCAGAAAGCCCCAGGGGACTCTGTACTTACTGGCCAAGTAAAAGCTAATATAAAGTGAGAAATCACTTATTCCATGAATCATTCATAATTCATGGTGTATTCCCCTTTTTGTTGGTAAACTAGTTGCTATTCTTACTGAAAGACTCTTTTCCCCCTGTAAATTACTTATTGCATTCCTGCTGTAACTTTTGATAGTCTTACATTCACTCAACAAACAAGTATTGAACACCTACTTAGTGCCAGGCATTGCATTTTGATGGTAGAAAATAAAGATGACAAAAAGAAACCCCATGGTCTTACATTTCTCCTCAAATGAAACAGGAAACAGCATACAAATATTTACATCCCAGTGTGAGGGATGTTGTAATAGGAGTGTGGGCAAAGTACTGGCTGCGCATAGGGAAGAAAGGGATAATTTGAGAGAATATGCATCTGACCCTCAGAATATGGAAACTGAACATGAGCCATTGAATATTTAGAATGACCTCCCAATTTAATTCTCTATCCCTTAGATTGAGCTACTGGATCATTGAAAATATTTAGAAAAATCTCCCACACACTTACATGGTCTTAAGAAAACTCTTTCTCACCCATACATAGGAGGGAATGTTTTCCCTTTAAAAGACTACAGAGTATGTTTGCCCTCTGTATACCAAAGCCCAAAACTAAGTGGACAATGAAATAACATAATATCAAAGACAGATATTCCTGACTGTAGTTTAACCAAAAGGGAAACCACCAGAAAGCCTGAAATGTCAATTTCCTTTTCTAAAAATGTACTTTTTTTGCTTACTCGCATTCATCCACTAAAAATATACGTTCTTAGCTAATAGCCACACTTTCCCAAGTAAATTCCCTGCCTGCTTCTTTCTTTTGAGTTGTAGAAACTATGATTAATTTTTTTAACTTTATGGGTCTTTCTCTATACAAAGGTAACTTACACTTGTTAGAATAACCTTCGCATACATTCATAATTTACAAAATTAAATGTCCTTTGTAATCTCTTCCCCTCTAGAGTGGACAAAAATAATCAGAAT
Source organism: Homo sapiens (assembly GCF_000001405.40). NCBI lineage: Eukaryota > Metazoa > Chordata > Mammalia > Primates > Hominidae > Homo > Homo sapiens. The sequence continues at coordinate 41,468,801 of NC_000012.12, forward strand.
TGATTCTAATAAGCCTTTTTTACTCTTTTGTTTTTTGTCTTTAATTTTTGTTACTCAAATCAGTCGGGCATGATGGCTCACGCCTGTAGTCCCAGCTCCTCAGGAGGCTGAGGCACAAGAATCGCTTGAACCCAGTAGGTGGAAGTTGCAGTGAGCCGAGATTGCGCCACTTCACTCTAGCCTGGGCGACAGAGCAAGATTCTGTCTCAAAAAAAAAAAAAAAATTGTTACTCAAATCATCTGACCTTGCACCTCTTAGCCCTCCTTTTCTCAGGAGGTTACTGTGTGGTACTAGGTTTCCTGAATGCTACAGTGAGATACTAGGCAAAGAAATATTTCCTATTCAGAATCGGGGAAACTGTTTAGAACACTGACTTTTTTTCTAAGTTTGTAAGTGACATTATTTTGCTTGAATAGCCGGCTGAAGATTTATGTGTGAAAAAAGGTACACTAAAAATGATTGAGAAGTTGTAAAAGGAATACTGTAATTCGTGAAATAATTGGATAATTTGATATTAACCAAATGTGTGGAATCAAAGAATTTCAACTGACCTTGTTGCCAGTAGCTTACCCTATGTGAATCTTACCTTGTATGTATACAATTATTTTCTAAATTCAGACTTTGCTGTAAATGAAAATGAACACCGAGTTAAGTTAAACACAGTGACTTGTACTGCTGTGTTCCTTCTACTACGTAGATTCTGTCAAAGTTTTTGAGGTTTTCTTTTAATTTTTTGAGGTTTTTTTCTTTTTTCTGCACATTAATCAATGTAGTTCTGTTTCTTGCTAGCATTAGTGTGTCTGTTAATTCTGCATGCCATAGACTGGAAACCCCAATGAAATGCTTCTTGCTGGGCAGGGTGGCTCACGCCTGTAATCCCAGCACTTTGGGAGGCCGAGGGGGGCCGATCACGAGGTCAGGAGATCGAGACCATCCTGGCTAACACGGTGAAACCCCGTCTCTACTAAAAATACAAAAATTAGCCGGGCGTGGTGGCGGGCACCTGTAGTCCCAGCTACTTGGGAGGCTGAGGCGGGAGAATGGTGTGAACCTGGGAGGCAGAGCTTGCAGTGAGCAGAGATCACGCCACTGCACTCCAGCCTGGGTGACAGAGCGAGACTCCATCTCAAAAATAAAAAATAAAAAATAAAAAAAATAAAAATAAATGCTTCATAAAATTGTCTGTAAAATAAGTATAAAGAGCTCAGAGTGAGGTCTTATGGAGTCTCCCTGTGGAAAGTCCTGTCATTTGGCACTAGGAGTGTATGGCATTCATTTATTTTGACTACTTGAAGGCCTTTAAAATCTTATTTCTGGGTCTCTACTCTGTTTATCGAGATGGGTTTGTCAGAAAATTTACAAACCCTTTCAGTTTTGTGGATACAATTGAGATCTCTACCTGTAACCTTTCATCCAGTGACACAATTAAACAAATCACCCTCATGCTTAATAAGTTTGTGATGGTAGTGACAAGGAAACTCAGACTTATTTTGGCAAAAATCTCCTCCAGGAGAGAAAAAAAAATTAACTTGGTATTGGATACTCTTTTGTTTTGTTTTGTTTGGGTTTTTTTGTATGTGTTTTTGTGTTGTTTGTTTGTTTTTGTTTGTTGGTGGGACACCTTCCTCCATATGATTCAGAGACCCAGGTTCCTTCCATCTACCTCTGTCATTCCCTGTGGCTTCACTTCCTTTTTTTTTAATTTAATTATTATTATACTTTAAGTTTTAGGGTACATGTGCACAACGTGCAGGTTTGTTACATATGTATACATGTGCCATGTTGGTGTGCTGCACCCATTAACTCGTCATTTAGCATTAGGTTTATCTCCTAATGCTATCTCTTCCCCCTCCCGCCACCCCACAACCGTCCCCGGTGTGTGATGTTCCCCTTCCTGTGTCCATGTGTTCTCATTGTTCAATTCCCACCCACTTCTTAAAAGTCCTGACCAGAAATGATACAGATCGCTTCTGCTTTTACTCTGTTGGCAAGAACGAGCCTCATGGCCAAAACCCACACAATGGGGGAGCCAGGAGGTACAGTCCCTGGCTCAGGAGCACCCTCCGCCACAGCCCCACACCAGCACAGCATGAACTTCTGGTAGAGAACTAGCCATAGCAGCCATAGACAATAAACAGCCTAGAAGTTCTGGAAAATAAGGGAAAATGTACAATACAAATATGTAATAACACACATGAACACATAAAATCATCTAGCTCCACCAATGTGCAAATCCTCTACTTAGCAACACTCCTGACTGAGTTAATCATACACTATGAACACAGCGGTGGTTGGAAATGACCCCTTTAAGAAACTTGTGGGTGCAGAGCTACAGTGACAAACTTTCTTAGGACAAAGCGCACCGCTATGGCAGCCTCCCTTAAGCAACTTAAATATTATGAAAGTATGCAAATGGAGAAAGAGTAATTTCTGTTAACCAACATCATGTTCTTTTTCTTCTCACTCTTGCTGAAGGTCTTTATGTTTATTGGTTTATTTTGTTTGCTATTTATTGTCACATATAACAGGTGAAGTCAAGGAGAAATGTGAAATGCAGTCAATTCCAGAGTAAATTGTTTCTGTTGCCACATTTGAAAATATATTAGGATAGCTGAATTTAGCTTTTAAAAGGATTTATTCTTTACTTTGGCAGAGAGGATGATTCTATCTATTGGTTTGCCTTTAAAATATTGCCTTCTACAAGGTAGAAATTATTTATATAATATTTATAATTTATTTATATAATTTCTATAATAAATAGTAATTATTTATTCTATAAATTTGAATAGACCATTTGATGATGTTAATGATGATGATTGTGATGATTTTTATACAGAAACTCAGAGATAGTTGTATGAATAAATGAATGCACATTGAAATTACTTTAGCTCTTATGATGAACTATGTAATAATAATAATCATTATAATAATTATTAGGGTGATGATTATAAACATAAATCGTTGAAAAATATGCTGAGAATAATGCTCCATTTAAAATAAAATGTGCTACTTTTATAAAAATTTCTTTGTAGAAGTCAATTTGCTTTTTTAAAAATACATTTTCATACACTAAGTTTTCTGTTAGCCTAAGTAATTATATTTCTAATTAACTTCAAAGTTGATAGGTGGCAAATGATATCAATCAAAACCAGTCCAAGTAAAAAATGTACACGAATTTAATAACAATATTATTCTATATTACTTTTTTTTTTTTTTTGAGACAGGAGTTTCACTCTTCTTGCCCAGGCTGGAGTGCAGTGGCACGTCTCGGCTCACTGCAACCTCCACACCTCCCAGGTTCAAGCGATTCTCCTGCCTCAGCCTCCCGAGTAGCTGGGATTACAGGCATGTGCCACCACACCCAGCTAATTTTGTATTTTTAGTAGAGATGGGGTTTCTCCATGTTGGTCAAGCTGGCCTCGACCTCCTGACCTCAGGTGATCCACCCACCTTGGCCTCCCAAAGTGCCGGGATTACAGGCATGAGCCACGGCGCCTGGCCCTGTATTACTTATTAGAAAGACCAATTCCATTTGAAATATTTAATATCACACAGTACTGTTTATTAATCCACTGTGACAAAACAACTAGATACCCTTTTATAGATATACATTTTTGTTAGGACACATTTTACCTCTTCAGATACATTAAAAAGTAATTAATTTTCTCTGACAGTGTTTTTAATTTTTTTGGTACTCAAATGATCTTTTATTAATTTAATTTTAATTGACAATAATTGTGTATACTAATGGAGTATAGTCTGATGTTTGATCTATGTATATAATGTAGAAAAGTTCAATGTTTTTAAAAAGAGGTATCCTAGGCTCATCACATCCCTTTTTACCATGATTGCATGTTAAAATCATAATAGTACCAGGTGTCACTCTAAGAGGTTTATGTATGTTAACTCATGTGGTTTTCTCGATAAACATATGAGATGGTAGTAATACCATTTCCACTTTAACAGTTAAAAAACTGTGGCATAGAATAGCTAAATAACTTTCCCATAGGCATTGCCCTGCTAACTAGTGGAATCATATGTGAAACTAAGAAATTGAACATCACATCCCTTGCTCTGGACCTTACTAGTTTAAAGTTATTTTTACTAGCAACAACCAAAATGTTAAAGTATTAGGTTTTTACATAATAATCTTTGCAATGTAGCTAACTAAGCATGCCATTATTGAGCAGCCAGTAAGTGGATAGAATGCAAATACACTTTATTTCAGAACAGAAAAGACAAAAGAAGTTGGGAGTCACTTTAGCCTCTTAAGTTGGGTAAGATATTACAGTTTTGTTTTATTTTTTAAGTAAAGCCTTATGGAATAGATAAAATATATTTAACTGACCCTATGAAATCACCATTTTTAGAGGTCAAAAAGTGATCACAAATTGGCAATACCATATGATTCAGCCTGTTACCAACATAATACCACAATTATTTTTTATTAAGAGTAGGTCATAAATTATAAAGGGGGAGATGCAAGGATTCAAAAAGAGTAATGCATGGTCCTTGTCATAAGAGAGTTTACAATAGGAACAAACCATAACAAACCATACATACCTGTAAATTTAAATGATACCACTCAGGAAATCTTAGAATGGGATTGTGCTCAGGTGCTGGGGTTCCAAGAGCCTTTCCTATAAAACCAATAGAAGTTCAAGGGCAGGAATAAGCTCTCAGGATTTCAGGAAGAGCCATGGCATCCCCACTGTATCTCCCAAGAACACTTCTGAGTGTTCCTGCCAGATTTCTCTAACTTCTGGCCATGGGCCCCATGGAAACTGCACACACTGCATGTTTCATGCTGATTCAAGCTTGCACTCCTGTTGATTATCTCTTGTTATGTATTTATCTCTCCAGCTGTGGCCCTGGTGACCTGCTTACTAAGCACCTGTCTCTATCCCCACCCACTGCCCGCTATCTCCAACATCTGATCTTTGTCTCTACCTCTTATATCCAGTGGAGCTGTCCCCAGTGCCCCTCCTGATATCCAATAAAACCCAACCTACTAAGTGACCAAGTTATAAATATTGTGTAATAAAGTCTTTGAAAGCAACCAAAATACTTAGTATTGTAATTTTTAGGAAAGTCTTTGAGAATCAGAGTTTTTAGGAAAAACCTTCACTGAAAATGGGTAAGCCTTGAATGGAGATTTGAACACCTGGTAGAATTTGGATGAATGGCAAAATAAAAGTTAAGATACTCAGGCTGGAGAAACAGTGTAACTAAAAGAACAGCACAGAGGTGCCTATGGCCTGTGAAGAGGATAAGAAATTGTCCAGCCAAAGTGAAGATTAAATGCAGTGGGGGATAAATGAGAAAGATTAATTAGTTTCTGTCTAGTCCTCAATGTTAGGCTGAGGTCTTTGCATCACAACCAATAATAGCCACCACATACTGAGTATGTACTACGTGTCAGACACTGACATATGACTTCTCAATTTTACCCAACTGAAGAAATTATCAATTGCACAGATGAGAAAATGAGATCCAGAGAGGTTAAGTGTCTTGTCAAAGGCTATATTTTAAAATTATTTTTAATCTCTCATAAAGCATTTATTATACAACAGGCTCAGATCTAAGCACTTGGCAAAAATGAATGCATTTAAACTACACAACAACCCAATGAGTGTGCTATTATTATTCTCACTTTCTGTTAGAGCTAAATGAAGTACCCAGGGGTTTCCTGACTTGCTCAAAGTCTTACAGTTTGTAAACGATGGAGTTGAAACTCAAACACAGGAGGCTTTGCCCTAGGGTCTGTGTTCTTATGCACTCTTCTAATAGCTGTGAAACTGGGGATCTCAGGGACACTAAAGGTTTTGAGCAGGATAATCATCTATGCAAAGTGGCTTGCAAGCATTATTAAATACTTCAATGGGAAGTCGGGTGGAGGATTATGGCTATCATTTTAATCTGAGATGACTGAGGCCTGGATTAGGGCAGAATTGGTGAGGACACAGAAAAAAACTGTGGGACATCCTACAAAGGAAGAATAAAGCAGATGTGAGAACTAATTAAATATGAAACATAGGTGTGAAAGAAAAATATTTGACTCTGAGGATGCACAATTGATTCTGACTAGCTAGAATTAAAATAAAACTATCGGATATAAAAGAAATTTGCAAGGAATATTTTGAGGCAGATTTTGTGCCCAGGCTGGAAAATGCAAGTAGAACTATCTAGAGAATTACTGGACATAGATACCTGAATTTCCCGTTGTACATTGGGTGTACTTATATTCAATAGTGTGGTTACAGTATATCATAATAATGTGTCTGTGTTTCTGTTTCTCCTACCTAGAAGTGATTTCTAGGTTCTCTCATCCCTTTGAATCCTCATTGCCTAACACAGCACCCAGTAACATAATAGATGCTCAATAAATATGATTGAATGAATAAGAATTATCTAGATAGTTAATAATAGCCATGCTCTTGAGTCTATAAGGAAAATTGTAGAAAAATGAGGACCAGGTATCATATTTCTCTTTTTTCTGGAGATTATGGTCTCAGCTCTATCTTTTCCTAATAAAATCTGAAATTTGCAGCCTGTAAAATTGTAGGGTAAAATAAATCACCGGATGTTTAACAAAATATTACCTTAGAATTGTCTTAATGGTTCAGTAGTTAGAATCAATATATGACTATTGCTTTCATGGCATTAATTATGTTTATCTAGAGCACTTGATTGCTAGGCTATAAGTGATGTGGAGAAACACATTCTTTGCAGCTTTAAATGGTATTGTAGAAAATTCTCATAAGAACATTCACGTACTCAAAGTGACTTTTATTTCTTGATTATAAATAGCAAAGTATTTTGGCCCTGTGTTCTCCTGGATCTAAACCACTCTGAAAGAGCAAGTCAATGGCATAATATTAGCGCTCAAATTTTGTTTATTTCTTTTATACATAATTTCATGAAAACCATAATTCCTTTTGTATGCATGTAGTATTTGAGATGTGTTAGAAATGTTCAATGCCTGGATGATATCTTGAACACAATATTTACAGATCCCTTTCTACTTATCTCCTTTGCTGTCCTCCCCTTTGTTTTCTTCTTTTGACCTCCGGGAGTAAATGTTGTCTGTACCATTTTTTGGCACTTGCTACTTGGTATTTTAAGCTATAGTTCCACATGTAAAGAATTTCAGCTCCTTGAGGATATTGTGTCTCCAACATCCAAAAATCCTCCTTAGCACCCAGCAAACCTCCATTCATACCACACTTGTGCACACACACATACACACACAGGGAGCATATCCCAATGCCATTTGTTGACTGACAGCCTTTGAGATCCCAAAGTACTCTGAAGTTAGTCTTTTAGTATCCCTGTAAGTACATGATTATGATTTTGAAAACTTTGTATATAAAGAAAGAAACAAGGTGTTGAAATAAAAATTACCTCCCTGATTTGTTTCTCTTTGTTAGGTTGACTTTACATGTGTAATAATAGTTGTTCCTGCAAAATTGACTGACACTACTCATTTCCATGCTATGTATGCATTGCTAAAGAAACAGCATAACAAACTAGGGGTAGAATCACAATTAGAGATTAAAAATAGGAGGTTTGTATCTCATTTTTATTGTAAATTGTTAAATGAGACTTAAAATTAACTAGTGTTTAAATGCCATTCTTTACAAAAGCTGAATTAGGTGACCACTCAAAACTGAAACAGATGACCTTTTTGTTTGATACTGCTTCACCCACTTAGCCCTCATCTAATGTTTGTTTTTGCCAGACAGAAAGGCCTATAGAGCCTCCCCTTCCCAATGCTCCTACCCGAGGAACACCTGAAACCTTTGGTCTACTCTAAGAGCTTTGTTTGTTGTATTTATGAAAAGCTCCTCTTATCCAGGTGTTTCACTCTTTCAGAAAGGTGACACATTGTTGACAGCTCTGATAGTGAAAGGAAATTGACAAGCCTGAGCACCTAACGTCCTCAAACCACCTGATAATGATGGTGGTTCCCATGCCTGCCTGGCGGCCTCGATCTCCAATTAAGCATCTGTGGAAGCTGGAAAGCAGTCCTCTTAATTGGGAAGCTGCAGATGCAAGGCAGGTTACAATTTCTGCCAAGACATTTATCAGTCAAGCCAAGCTTCCTCCCCTCTTCCTCACGCTTGCATTTGTGTTTTGTTATTCTGCAGTCCCCCACACTGTAAGACAAGGAGGCTATTTAGTGAAGATCTGAATATACAAAAGTCATTTTGCATGAGCAACTTTCAGCTCCATAAATAACCTCCCGCTGAAGCAGGATCCATGATAAATTTAGTCCTAATTACACCTAACTCTCACCCTTCCTCTACACCTCCCATTAAGATATATTGTCTAGGACACATGCAGGGGATCTGTTTGCAGCTATCTTTTACATAGGACTGATTGTTTAATTGCAGATTAAAGATTAATGCAAGTATAATGATTCCATAAGGACACTTCAGACAAAAGCATCCTACATCAGGCTGCCTGCCTCCATTTTTCAATTTGACCATAAATTTGGCTGGGAATTAAATAGTAAGTAGCCGTGATTGCAACTCTGGTCTCTGAAGGCACTCACGGGAATGAAAATAAATGAACAGGCTCTCACACAAAGCATGTTTCATTATGGTCATTAGTGGGCAGATTCTCAGCAGTATTGAAGGTGAAATTGTCTAGAAAAGAGGTTGGCACATGTCTGTTAAGGACAGCCGAAAAGGATGGTGAAAAGGATGGATGTGGTTTGGGTTGGGGACAATTGTGGCATAGTTTGAGTATTTTAATTCCTTTTGTTTATTTCCATTGTTTAGAAGGTAGCAGCCATCAGCAAAAGGTTCTTTTTACTACAGAACCACAAAAACATAAGCCTTTTTTAGTATGGTTTCAAAACTGGCATGATGTACAATATGAATATAAATATAAATGATGGTTATTTGGTGAACAGACCAACTCCGCACAAAACAGCCAAATAAAAATATCCTAGAATAAACATGACATTATGAAAAGCCCACAGGCGCCTTTACCATGCATGTGGTAATGATTTTGATTATGAAATGCTTATCTTTGGATTTTTCTTGCATTTTTCAGGTAAGAGACAATTTTTCCTTAAACCTTTGGCATTGTTGACATGTTGGCCATCCACTGTAAGTATGGCATTAAATTTATTTCATCATATTATTCTCTTGCTTATCAGTGAGCGAATTAATCTACATGATATAGATAAGAGGACAAATGTGGCTGCTTTGGTCTTTGTGACCACTGGTTCTGTGTCCCCCAATAATATATTTTATCTCATAGGTACCTTAAATGTTATTACACTAATAATACATTAAATTTTTTTGTTTTTTGTTTTTTTGGAGACGAAGACTCACTCTGTCACCCAGGCTGGAGTGCAGTGGTGCAATCTCGGCTCACTGCAACCTCCGCCTCCCAGGTTCAAGCGATTCTCGTGCCTCAGCCTCCCGAGTAGCTGGGATTACAGGCATGCACCACCATATCTAGCTAATTTTTGTATTTTTAGTAAAGACGAGGTTTCAGCATGTTGGCCAGGCTGATCTCCAGCTCCTGACCTCAGGTGATCCGCCTGTCTCAGCCTCCCAAAGTGCTGGAATTACAAGCATGAGCCACTGCACCCAGCCTGTAAAATTAAATATACTTACATATATACATTAGTTTGAGTTATGCTGGTATTTGAGAAGCTGGTTTTCATTTGTTACAAAAAAATAAAAGAGCAGAGACTATTCCTATTATAATATGTAAAATGTTCAAAAACATTTTCACCTGTTGTCAATTTAAATGAAGCCAAGACACAAACTAAAATCTGACAAGACACAAACTTTTCCTCCCATTCTCTACAGTTTTATAAAAGTCCTTTTATATGGAGGAACAAATACAACTGTGATGACAACATGACCTAATAATGATATTTAGAAAGAAAATCCTAAGATGTTTTATAATCATAATGAGTTTGGGCCCTTCACATACACACACCACATACACACAACACAACACACACTGTTCCTGATATCCAGGGAGTTCTCCTAGGAAAAATTGATGAAGCTATGCTAATGTTTGATAAACTCTGTTAAAACCATATTACTTCAGAAACACACATAAAATGACAAAGCTTCAGCATTTGTAGAGATGTTCCAAATCAAAATTCTAAGGGAAAATAATAGTGTTTTTAGTTTTTCATGAGTTGAGAAAATAAAGACCAAAGCAATCTTTTTCTCCCTTCCCAAAATAAATTCAAGTAGTTGTGAAAAAAAGTAAGTTTTTTTTCTTGTTAATGAAATCCATCCAAATACTCAATATCACAATTGACAGGAAGAGTCCAGGATTAGGAATAATGACTTTTACCAATGACATATTAATGAGATACAGTAGGGGACAGATAAAAGAATGTAATCATATCCTGACTTGGATGTGGGTATCTGTTTTTTATTGATAGAAAGAAAAGCTGACATCCTCTTGAGATTGGAATAGTATTGATTTGTCAGAAAACGAAAGTAGATGACACAGTATTTTTTCTTTTTTCTACAGTCCAATAGATCAGTGAATATAGTTATGATAGTATTATGATACTATGTATCCATTCACTTTTACTTGGTTCCATTATTACTTCAAAATTCTTCTATGGCTGAGAGAATGATTGAATAACTCCTCATGTGCATGGGATTATTTTATGAAAGAGGTTAACCAGCTGCTCACTATTTTCACTGAAGAGTGAGCAAGAAGAAATCGTTTAAATTGAAGTAGCAGTTCTCTAAGTTGCATGGGAATCGTAATCACTGCCATCATCATCAGTTCAAAGGAACTCCATACACATGAGTTCCTGCTGTGCACAGAGAAAAGAGCTTCCTCTCTGGAAAGATGGTTAGATGCAAGAAAGACTTCACAAGAGAAATTCCAGAATACCCATGTGTATAGATCTCTTTATAGAAACATGTGGACATGTCTCTTTGTTCAAGATATCAATAACAAATTTGCACTAAAGAATATGAGAGCCCAGAAAATGTAAGAAATGTGGGATTTAATTAATGTATGCACATATTAAAATACTTTTTATCCTTAAAACCACTCATTTGATCCACCTGACTGTTTCATCTACTCTGAATAGCTATTATATTAAATGTGAATGAACATCATTGGTCCATAACTTTATAAAACTAAATCAAATGAATTAATGTAATTTTCATGAAACAAGATGGTTCATGTCTTGTAAAGAGATGTAATTCTTTGCATATTTTAAGTCTGTATAATGCTCATGAAATATTGGTGTAGAATTCTTCCTCTCTAAATTAGCTATTATAATTAAAAGTTCATGGGCATGATTTGGAAATATTAGCAATTTCTTCTCTCATGCACGATAATCATCTTCTTTCACCTGCCACCTGTTGAGAGAGCAGCTGGCCTGTTTATTGTCTCTGTGGCCTGGAGTCCTTTCTAAGTGAAGCTAGCTTGTCACCTCATTCTAGTTTTGATCACAATACATGCAAATCTCACATTAGTTCATTGCTCAGTCACCAAGTGGCTGGAATATTATGCATAGTCAAGTTGATATTTGAAATAAAATGTATTCCCACCTCTTTGTTCTATATCTATTTATTATATTACGAATATAGATGTTCAATGGAGTAAGAGATCTTTCTGAGGTTTTGATCTTTTAGAGACTGATTCTGGGTTGGACATCAAAACATAACATGCTTTGAGGATATAAAGCTAACAGTAGTGGGTTTTATTTCATATCCCAAATGCCTGGTGGGACAGTTTCTACAATGTATTTACTTCTACATGAATGAAGCTTGAAGGAATATAATAAACGAAAACATATAAACAAATCAACATTGCTATTAATTTTTTCCCAATATCAGGCTTAGTTACCAAATGCAGATTTTCATATAAATATTTTATAATTTCTTACCTTCTCTTCTCCTGGAAGATTTTTTTTCAGATTGTCAACAGAAAGCAAGATAGGGGAGTAGGAATAGAAAGAGACATTCTATTCAACTCAAATGTGAGTCTAGGTGAATATGCTGATACTCTATAGAATTAAGAATAAATACGATTTCAGCAGGTGATACAGAATATAATTTCAAAACATGACTAAATCAAAATTATTTTGTTTGATAAACTAAAACACTACATGTCAGATAAATTAAGTATAAAAGCCAAAACAAAGCCTTAAATTACAGGGTTTTTTTTTTTCTAATAGGCTATATTTTAGACATCTTCATTTTCCCCCCTCTGTATAAATGAATTAAGCTGCACATGAGGAAAGTGTGGTGTAAGGATTTCTCCAAATGCATGAACCCCAAACTATATCTATCTCACCATTTCCCATAATGCCTCATATTTCTCCTGTAGCGGTTGCTGCCTGTGAGCCATGTCATGATCTATCCATTTGTACCAACCTATCAGTGATAGGAACCTATCACCCATCATAACAGGAGCAGCTCATAGTCATCTCTGTTTTTTCTCTTCCCAGTCTGACCACCCATAATTAGACACTCACCTCATTTGCTCTCCAATCCTCAGTTTCTCTTCCTTCCAACCTAGCCTAAAGAATATTACCAAATTACTCTTTCTCAAGAATGAAGCTACATATACTTCTTTGCTCAAAACCCTCCTGCCAAACAACCAAGTCCAGCTTATTAACTTGGCATTTAAACCCCCACAATCTGCCCCTTACTCCCTCTCCCTGTTTTTCCATATGAAAATTTGAATCTGGTAAATTAGTCTTATCATACCAAAAGTCTTCCTTTTTGTATGTGATTGATCCAGCTATCTTTCTCTGGCTTTCTCTTTATTTTCCATTTGAAAACATGTTCCTTAAACTTCCCTTCAAAACAAGCTCAAATCCAAGTCTTCTGTAAAGTTTTCCCTGATCCTCAGTAATCTTGAGAGTTTTTTCAGCCCACACTGATTGTTTGCACTAGTAATTTCTCACTTAGTATATGCTATATTACATTATTGTTTATCTTTTTTATGTACATGTCCAATCTCTACAACTAAATCGAGAGCCTCTCCAGACAGAAACTAAATCTTATATTTATTTGCCAATGTAGTATATATTACATTTCTCTATGTAGAGTAAGCATTTACTAGATGTTTGTAGATAACCATGATCAATTTACCCGATTAAGAAGAATAATTTAATTATAACAATACTTTTTAAAGACTTTCTTTAGTTTTGGCATTTTTAATGCTTTTTGGCAACAACTAACATACCCCACGAAAAATGGATTAAATAGAGGACTTCAAATTCATTTTGATCATATCAAAACATTCCACAAATAACTGTTCCTAGCTTGGATCAGTGAATCACTGATGTCTGACCATTGGGTTGCCTTCTCTTTCTTTTAGACTTTTCCTCATTGTCACAAAGGGGCTGCCACAGCTGTAAGCATCACATCTTCACGCAGCAAAACCTAAGGTGGAAAGAAAGAGAAGGTGTTTTCCTTGTCATCTCTCTCTGATATCAAAATGAAAAATCCTAGATATGCCTCAGCAGATTCCCACAGAAATACTTTGGACCAGTGTAGGATTGTATATGCTTGTAGCTATCAAGGAAGTTGGAAAAGAAAAATCTGAAATATTTAGTTTAGGATGAGAACTTGGATTCTACAACAAGGAAAAAAAGGAAGAGGGAAATAACTGTTGGCTAGCCAACCAATAGTATTTGTCACCAGGTAAGATTCACATTCAATTAACAATCATTAAGTACTTAAAGTGGCAGGATCCATATCAGCTTCTGTCATATATGTTGAGTTATTTATTTCTCATAAAAGTCCTGTAAGATTAATATTATTCTCCCATTTTACAGATGAAGAAATTGAGGCTTAGAGACATTAGGGCATTATCAAATTTAAGTAAATAAGAGAGCTGAGATTTAAGTCCGTTTTATAAGGCTAAGATCAGTATATTTTCTACTGTACCTCAGCTGAGTCTCAGAGAAGAACATTTTAATGATACATTATAGAAGAAGAAAACCAACTAGAATGGGATAGGAGAGTATACCTAGTGTATAGTGAGAAAGGTAGCAAGGATGGCACAAGTGTATTGGCCTTCTGATGAGTGAGGCTGGGTATGAGGGAATGGGGGAAGCAGGGCATCCATCAGAGGTTAGCCCAGGATCAACCCTCAGTGTTTCAAGAACATTTTTAATATTATGCAATTATTTGTATTTATATAAACAAAAATATTTAACTTTTTGAGAAAATTCATATTGATATTAAAAATTATATATAATATATATTACATGTGGCATTTGAGAAGCAGTCATGAAGTGGAATTTTTCAGGAGACATAATTTACATGAGATCTAAAGCACAGCCTATATTCCAGCTCAGCCTTTAAATATTCTTACCCTTTTATATTTTCCCCTCTTTATGAAAGAATAGATAGTAGGTGACCTCCACAACCAAAGTTGATTATTTCTTCTTCATTTTTCAATTTCCTTTTTTAAGGTTATCAAAAAGTAGCAATTCATTTTCATTCTGTCTATGAACTTACACAAGATCCTACACAGTAAGCTTACTAAAAGAGAAGGATATCAAGAAGAGTGAAAAATAATATATCTCTTTTGAAATTTCTTAGGATTCTTATGGTGCCACAGGGCTTGAACAGGATCCTAAATCTCTCTTTTTGCAGGGTGGGAGAGGAAGCAGTCAGGAAGCAGAAAAGAGACAGTGACTGAGATTCCCAACCCTTCCCCACCCCATGTAGGGAGCTTCAGAGCAATGTGTAGAATTGATGTAAGAAACGCTATTCCTTTGTAAAAGCATCAAAAATATTAAAATACTCCTATTATCTGTGCTTAGCCTCCAGCTTCTTTTAATGATCTTCCCAGATCTCACAAGAACATAGACTAAATCGACTGTATGAGTTCAAATGATAACAACACAGTGACAATTAATGGTTCTTGTCAGGATCCATAAATTATGGCATCTTACTGCTAGTCTTTTTTTAAAGATTTTGGGCAGCTTATTAAAGCATCTAGCCTTTGCTCCAATGTGGCCTTGAAAAGGAAAGAAATAAACAACCAATCAAGTAGAAATTCTCTTTGGCTCAATGCATAGTCCAGTAGTACACACATTGCATTTATGAGAAAAGAGCCCTCTTCATCTGACATGTGAACTTACATTCTTTTAATCTAAATTTGTTGTGCTCATCTTTTACCTTTGTTAAATTTAACCTGGATTCCATTCTGAAAAAAATCATACATTTTTCAAATACCTAAATAGATGAAAATATCTCGAGTTTGTGTGTAAGATTCTACTCCTCCTTTTTGTTAGATACTCTAATAAAGTTTATCAACTTGTTTTTAAATGAAAGAGAATAATGATCTCTATCACACAGAGAACTTATTAGTGTCCTATAGCAAAATTGAGGGAGGATTTTTCCTCACAAGTTGAGGGACAAGGTGAAATTGAGAAAAGATATTTGTAAATACTCAAATAATCATAAGAGATCAAAGTAAATCTATGTGAATTTTTGAACTTGAAACCTACCTTTCTCAAAATTGCAGGATTGAAAACATTATTTATGTGTTGGCTTCTTCTTACTGCAACCAACCAACTAACTTGATATTGTTAACCTTAGTGCCTTTTGGCATGTTAGTAAAGTCACTAAGAGTTTTTGTTCAAATCCTGACTGTTCCTGAGCTAGCTATGTGAGTTTAGGTAAGTCACTTAAAATCACTGCATCTGTTTCTCACCTGCCCCAAAAACGTAATAGGAGCATCCCACCACAATGAGGTTTTTCACTTACTAAATGCTGAATGCATACAGGATATTTAACACTTGTGAATAGTACGTGCTTTATTAATGTCAGTTATTAGAAACATTGTTTTCTATATTTCCATCTCACCTCATATAACCCTGACCAAACCAAGGAGTCCAAAGACCAGATAGATTTCTGTTGCCCAGATTTGCTGTAAACTTAACAGTGTATCTTTGGGCTATTTACGTAACCCTTATGATTCTGTCTCCTTAACCCACAGATGAAGCTTCTTGTCCTAATAGTCTTTGTGGGCATGTTGACGTTTTCCCTCATTACAGGACATCAGACACCAAAGAATATCAGGTAGTAGGTCAGGGTTGCCTACAATCCTGACAACAAAGTGACTTGCGTCTTTTAGATTGTAACCTCCCTCTGGCTGTCCAAGGCTGGTCCTTACCATGTTTCCTGGGTCTGACTCCCTAATCATCCATCCCATGCCTCACAATCTGCCACTTTTCTCCAACCTCAGCCTCCTCAGGGAAAAAACATACTTGCTCTGGACCCAGGTTTCTGAGTACCAGAGTTCTGATATTAGTTGATCTGACAAACACATCTACAGTAAGTTGCAGTAAATGCTAATACTATGTGTTGTATTTCCAGAAAAGATGTGCTTGTTTGTTTTCTAATTGAGGGATAAAGTAGAGGGAAAGGGAGGACTTTCAGGCACTGTGGCAGAGGAGGTCATTGAGCGAACAAGAAGAAGGCTATCCCTGGGCAGGCAAAATGCATTATTCTGTATTTGGTGCAAGGCAAGTCAGACACTGTGTACCCCTATACCTATCCTGAGATGACTAGAATTTAGAGACTAGCTATTCCTGTGTTTCAATTCCGGTACGGAAATGACAAGTCAGGAAATTCCCAGCATGCCAGGACTCACCGGAGGTGTTGCTATTCTTACTGTCACATATCTGAGACCACTATTAACCACTGAAATCTAGAATTGCTCATAATCTTTCTCTCTTTCTCTCTCTTCCTCTCTCTTTTTCTTTCTTTCTCTCCCTCTCTCTCTTCCGAGTCCTGCTCTGTTTTATTTCTATATGAGGTTATATGGAAAAAAGAAAACAAAAATAGCTTATTACCTGGAATATAATTGAATCAGCATTTTGGATTTAAAAATCTATGATAATTATAGCAAACTATTTTAAATAAATAAACGATGAGTCATTCTTGTTCTCTGACATGATTAAAATCCAGAAATCATTTATTGGTCCTTAATTTACTATTTGTGTTTGTTTTGAAATAGAAATAAAGGCAAGACAGTTTACCATTTCCTGTATGTGTCTTTGCTACAACTTAGTCTCAAAAAACAATTTAACCAGAAATACACCTAAAGGTATGCTGTTAAATTAGTTAAAAAATTTAACACTTACTGAGATAGACTAAGACAACATACTGTTTAGGAAAGAAGAAAAAATGGAAAGGTGACAGTAGCTTTTCAATATTATTATGTGAAAAATCACAATCAATAGTTTCCAGTTTTATGTAAGGCGGAATAATAGATTATCATGGACCTATGTTATAGCATAGTTCTACATATTTTTTAAAAACATTATTTCAGCCCTTTGTTGCTAGGAGTTTTTGTGTACAGGCTGGATGACCACTGGACAGAGAAATTGTAAAAGACATTAAAATATTGAGGGCAGTTTAAATCTAACACTGAAAAAAATAAATATGGGAGTCCCGTTTTGTTAAATCCAATGTTTGAGATACTTTTTGAATTGAGTTGGGGATACAAAAACACAGGAAACAATGTAACTTGGTGTTATCTTGTGTATGGAGCCAGCCTAACTGGGGTTCAAACCTCATTGCTTTTATATAACATAAACCAAGATATGTAAACTTCATCTCTGTCATGCAAAAAATAGGCGAAGTAATAATGCCCAACATAAGGGAGTTATTGCAAAAGTGGAATCAAACAAGATTCTATATAATGCATCATGCTGGGCACAGAGTAAGAACCCAGTGAATGAGGGTTTATGATTTCTGTGGACAGTCTACCTGAAGATTGCAAGAGAAATAGCAATAATATGAGAAGGTAGCAGCTGGGAAAGTGCAAGCAATGGCAGAGAGGGAAGGAGGCAGATTGACCAAATGGGAATGTGAATGATGAAAATAGAGAAAAAAAAATCAGAGTAAGAAAAGGGGGGAGAGCTTTCTCGGAAAGTTGTGTGTCATGGGAAATCAACTCAAGGTAAAAGTCCCTGTCCACATAGTGGCCTAGGTGTCCGATTCCTGTGAGCTCATCTCTTACTTCTCTCCCCTGCTCACCCTCCTCTGCTCTCTCTTCCTCCCTGGGGTACACAAATGTGTCAGGAATGCTTCCACCCTTGGGCCTTTGCCATGGCTGCTTCTCTCCTTAGGTTCCAGCTAGCGGCAGGAGCATTCCTTACCTCTTAATTAAATCTTCATTCCAATGTCTAGCACCATCTCAGTGAGACCTACACTGACCACAAAAGAAATACTACAACTCCCCTCCTCCTGCCCCAATTCTTCTCATTGTTTTATATTTTTTTCATAGCAGTTGACACATAATCAACTTTCCATATGATTAAAATTAATTGAAGTATTTTTACATTGATTGTCTGCCTTACTAAAATGTAAACACTCTGAGGTCAGAGATTTTGTCTGACTTGTTCATTGACATTATCTCAGTGCCTAGAACAAGGTCTGGCACATGGCTGGTGCCCAATAATTTTTTTTTTTTTAATTCATGATGAAAACGGAAGGGAAAAAAGGAGGAAGAAACTAATCCCAGACTCAGGAAAAATATTTCCTAATTTTCCATTTTAATTAGCATTCCCAGTGCTTTGACAGGAGCATAACATTGCACACTAGAAAGGTCTCAACATCTAATTATATGTAAATTATAACTGTTAGCTTTGAGTTTTAATAACATCATTTGCCTTTGATTCTACTGTAACCAGCTCTAAATAGAATAGAAGTTGAAACACTATAAACAGAGAACCTCAACTATGTGTATTAAAAAGTGTTCAATATTGAGAACTCTAAAAATATGTTGGCTTCTAAAAATTAGCTAATTATGCAAAGTGTCTATTTACATGTTTGGTTATATACCAACAATATTCTTTAATTCATAAGGCTTGTCTCTTGACATCTAGTTGAAGTATCTGAAGCCCTGATATCTAGCAATTAAAATTGTAGTGGAAGCAACTGGTATAGACAAAGCACAGATTCTGTCACACTTGATCACCTCTTTCCACATCGTGCTCAGCCACCCTTAATGAGGAAAGATGGAAAATGTCTACTGCTTCTTAAAGTGAGAATTTTCCCAAATTGGAGTTAAACTTAAGAAAGTAGTTCTTCATTCGGTAAACATAGTAATTGACTTTTATAGCCTTTTTGAAAACACATATGTATGTATCCTTTTTAAATCTAGAAAGAAATGCATTATATATGAATGAATGAATAAGCAATGAGTCTGCTGTGTTTCTTTCCATAGGCATCCAAAATAACAGTATGCAGTCATGTCAGGAGCACCAAATAGTCAAGTACTATTTTCAGAACAAATGTTACAAAGTATTATTTTAATCCGGCAATGTATCACTGCCTTTTAGCCGTGCAAAACTATACTCTGCCATCTCCTCCACATTCCATTATCCAGCATCCTAAATCCTGACCCAAGTCAGTGAAGTGTACGGATAATCAACATGAAGCAGAGCATTTGTAGAAGAGCACATGGAATCTCGAACAGTTTTCAGTGCATATTAACAGTGTTTACGTTATTATTTATTAGGGTGTGCATTAGAGTCAAATGTTATACTTGAGGTTATCACTACTTGAGAAGGATTTGGAAAACTTAAGTTTAGAGGAAATTACAATATTAAATAAGAGATAGAAGATAAGATCTATGTGGAAAATTTATTGAAACACGCTATTTGTTGAAATAACTAAGTGACAATCCTCTGGAATCCAGGGATCCTTGTCTTCTCAATCCTTGTCATATGGCCACTGCCATCAAAGAATAATTTTATCTCATTAATGGCAGCTCAAGAAACCTGGCGTGTAGTCACTGATAGACAATGACAGCTTCTGAGGCTGTACACCAGGACAATGCCATAGTGGAAGAACGACAACATCACAGTTAACTTCTCCGGGCTGGAGGGAAAAAAAATGAAGCTCTGTTAAGTAATATTCCTTGCTATTTTATTCAGATATAATCCAAGTCAATTTTTTCCTTTAAAATATAAAATGAAAACAATAATCCATGAAACAGAGGTGAAGCTCTATCCTTCAACTTCTGTGTTATAGTGTTTTATCTCTCTTATAGGAAAACCAGGTCCCGATTAGATCCAGCATTCTTCAATCTTAATGGAGTAAATTGTGACTCAAAGGAAGCCTAAAGTAAATGTTCTCAAGTAGATGTGATCTCACCCTCCGGGGCAAGTTTTTCTAACCCACAGCCCATGGGCTGCATACGGCCCAGGACAGCTTTGAAAGTGGCCCATCACAAATGCATAAACTTTCTTAAAATAAATTTGTAAACTTTCTTAAATTATGAGGTTATTTTTTGAGATTTTTTTAGCTCATCAGCTATTGTTAGTGGTAGTGTATTTTATGTGTGGCCCAAGACAATTCTTCTTCTCCCAATGTAGCCCAGGGAAGCCAAAAGGTTGGACACCTCTGCTAGTCTAGGGAATATTTGGCACTCTCTGGAGACATTTTTGGAGATGTTTTGGGTGGGGGCAGAGGTGTGCTTCTGACATCTAGTGGGTAAAGGCCAGGGATGTTGCTAAACATCCTTAATGCAGAAGACAGCCTGCTACAACAAAGAATTATCCAGCCCAAAATGCCAACAGTACTGCAGTTGAGAAATCCCAGACTAAAGGTTCTAGCAATATTCAACAAGAAGTTCAGTCACTTAGGAAATAATTCCCACAGCTGCTCCTCTCTGTGCACCTTGTATTAGAGTAATCATGAGGGTAATGGAGCAGTAGATGAACTTACCTCTATGTTTGGAATCTCAGCACTTTACATGCAGTGTTTAGTATAAGCAATGAGGGGCAGTCAACTCGTCCTTCTCTAAACAAAATTTATTATTTTATTTTGAAAGATTTAGACTTCATAAAGCTTAAATATTTTACTGAGATTTCCAGGTTTTTTTTTTTTTTTCCAAAAGAGAACTCTTACCTTGCGAAGCTGTCATTTGATAAGACTAGGACATCAATAAAACTTTAATGTTGACACCAATTAGCCATAACCTGCAAATTGAGTATTTCACAAGGGCCAAGTTCAGCCAATAGTTCTGGGCTCTGGTTTCTATTAATACTCAAATCAAATATAGTCATTAGAGCTTGAGAATCAATAATAGATTCTGGCTTCTTGTTATCATTGACTTCTTTGATAAGTAATTTTGCTGAAAACATATTGAGTTTAAATTAACAACCATTTCCTATATACTGTACAGTGATTAATTAACTGATCTGGGCATTAAAAGTCAAGACTTTTAATCTCAGCTTTACCACTTGTTGTGTGACCTTAGTAAAAAAAAATCAATTAAACCAATATTTGCCTCTTATTTAAGATGTGGATAATACTTAAAACTCCTGTGAGCAGTGAAATAAATATTGGAGTGATAATTAACATATAAATTGCCAGATAAATTGCAGATATCAAGACTAACTCCCCTCATCTTTGATGACTTCACATGTGTTTGAAACTTACCATGGATTGAAGTTTCCAGAGCTTAAGAGAGTTTTCTCCAGGTCTACATTGGTAGCAAATGGTGAAACTAGAAAGACTATTTAAGTCTTCTGACCATGAATCCAAGGCTTTTTGTGTATAGTATTCTGCTCCTTCAAATCTATACCACCCAAAAATTTGCAAGCATGCTTTCTCAGCGTGTCTAAATGGGCCGTAATTATTTGCAGACAAACATTGAAAGAAAATTATTTGGAATGCCATGTCGATTACAAAGTATTAGAAATAATTTGTGTATTTTGTTGACTTCCTACTCTATCTCACATATTAATTACTCTTTATATATGTGCATATATTATATATTATAGTATGTTTTATATTTATTATTGCATTTGTTATATGTTATCTCCCCCACAGGAGCACCTCCTCATGAGTTCCTCAGAGTCCCAAGACTCTCTTGTCTTGAGGCTGGTTGCTCTTCAACATCCTTCGTTTTATTGATTTATTAATTTATTGGCTTATTGATTTTAGAGAGGGGATCTCACTTTGTCACCCAGGCTGGAACAAGGTCCTCTACTTGGAACTTCTACTATGCAATTCTCCCCACACATTTCAAGAAATTCCCATCTTCTAACTACTGGTGCAATCTCACCCTTCAAAGTCCATCTTCTCAGCCCTGAAAGTACATAACTCAGATTCATATCTGAGTCAGAATAATCTTTCATGGGTTCCAACAAGACAGAGCAGAGGAGGCTTCCGTACTCTAAGTAGCACAGAACATTTCAAGGCAAGCATGAGCACTACCAGGCTCTCTGAGGGTTCCCTACAGTGTAGTAGCACATCTGCCACATTACTCTTCTGAGTGTCCAGTGGGGTAGCTGTTAAATTACACGTACATACTGCATGCCCATTTTATCCCAATATGTGAGTCCTCAGAGAAAGTTGTCTAAACTGTCAGTCGAGTCCAATTAGTAAGTGAACAATTCTGTGAAAATTGGGACAAATAAGGTAACCATGAATCCTGGCCGGGAGTGGTGGCTCACACCTCTAATCCCAGCACTTTGGGAGGCCGAGGAGGGCAGATCATGAGGTCAGGAAATTGAGACCATCTTGGCTAACACAGTGAAACTCTGTCTCTAATAAAAATACAAAAAATTGGACTGGTGTGGTGGTGCACCCCTGCAGACCCAGCTAGTTAAGAGGCTGAGGCAGGAGAATCGCTTGAACCTGTGAGGTGGAGGTTGCAGTGAGCCAAGATCATGCCACTGCACTCCAGCCTGAGCCACAGAGTGAGACTCCATCTCAAAAACAAACAAACAAAAAAATAAAAAACAAAAACCATGAATACTGGCTTTCCCTGTCAGGGTGAATGTTTTTTGCCTGTGCCTTCATAGATAACTTTAGTGGATCACTGGGAGAGCCTGTGTCAAGAGTGGCCAACTAAGGCACAATTCTAAAAAAGACAAGACTATCTTCTGCAGTTTTTAGGATCATTGTCTTTAATAGTTTTATTGTCATTGGAAATTACACATTATATTATAAACTGATTAAGCATTGAATACATTATCATGTATTAAATAAGAGCTACTTCTGATCATATGTTATTACTGGTGGCCTTTGTGAAACCTGCAAATTTTTGCCTCTGTGTTTTATTCTATTCCGTATCTGGTTCCTAGACCTTTATTAACACCCAGTATAGACTGAATAAAAATATTTTCACTTGATATAATTTTAATAACCTAATTTATACTTGTTTCTTTCATACATATTCATATGAAGACCACATAACCCCCAGAAAAATGGAATTTATGCTATGAATTGATTAGCGTATCAAGCACTTGCATCAGATGCATACAAAATGCATGTTCTTCAATATGTACAACTTCTAAATCCCACCTGTTACTGTAACAGTCTCAAAAAATAAAACAGCAATGGCAATATGATAGTTAATTTTTAAGTTTTACACATTAAAACATCTGTAAAAAGTAAGGAAAACTTATCATCTAAGATTAACTTATTATCTTATTTCTTTTATATGTAAAACCCTTGAATTTAAATCTTGCTTTCAAGAAGACAAGGAGAAGAAAGAACTATTAGATAATATGAAAAGCACATGACTGCCTCCCGTTAGAGAGTTTCTTTCACAAAAATTAAGAAAAGGGTCAGAAGAGCAAAATTATGCTGTTCTTATCATGGATAGCATACCTTAAGAGCAGAGAAGATTGGGAGGGGACGAGTGTTTACTATTCAAAGTAAAAGCCATCATGTTGCTGCAAGGAAGAGCGTGTTTTAACTTTGCTTTGTGATTTGAGCATTTTACCAGGTTGTAAGAGTTGAAAAGCTCTGAGTCTCATTCAGTCATTTAAAAGGAAGTGAAGGGAAGGAACTGTTTAATGCCAAGTCTAACTGTCCTAGCGTTTGTATTAAGATGGAGCTACCCAAAGTTCTTTAAAGTATGAGATCTTGGTGGTGTAAGAAAAAAATCAGACTTCATTTTGCATTCTACTAGTCTCTCCTTTTGGATTATTCTTTACACCTTTGAAATGTCCAAGTCACTCAGGGATAGCTATTTGTAAGCTGCCACTATGAGATGACATTTAAAATGAATGAAAAAGATATAGACAACATCCTCTCTAAATCAACAAAATCAACCTTGGCTTGAAAGCTGGTGTGGAAATGCTCATTTTCTGTCCCATTCTTCTGTGCATATGACATTCTGGAAATTATACATTCTGTTTTACAGAACTAAATATTTATTACCAGAGGAAAATAGTTTATTAATTACAGCCAAAGGCTGCTTTGATTAAATATACAATTAATTAGCTATGCTAAGCTCATCCATCCCAGAGCTCCTAATATTTTCAGCCCGATGATTCTTCTAGTACTTTTAATTAAAATTGTTCTAAAAAGCCACAAGTTAGCTGCATGTGCACTTAAACTGAAGTTATCTCTGCAGTGTTTCACTGGTTTCCGTATGCCATGTAATTAATCTTTAGTGATTAAATGTACATAAAATCATCGGAGATGCAAAGTAATTTGTGCAGACATGGAACAATGGAGAGCTTTTACTGGGCATTGGCAGGATTGTTTTATCTGCTGAAAATTATTTCAAAAGCATACAGATGTTAATTGTTTGAAGGAAGTAAATGTACAAAACTGTGCCCTTCTCCCCCACTCTTCCAAATAAAGCTAAATAAAATCAACAGTATTAGTATAGAAAAATGTTGTGGCAATTTGAATTTAAGGATGTGATGACTCTATTTGGTGGAGATGCATCCACTTTTTTGCCCTGTCTTGTTTGCTTGCTGAGGCAATCATAGTGTCATGTAAAACATGGTTTTCAGAAAGTGCCGCCCCAAATATTATTGTCTCGTTGTACACGCATGCTCTCAGATAGACCTGAAACCTTCAGTTGGTTACAACTCTCCATACACTCCAGCTGCTGTCTTAGGGAAATCCTGTTTGAATCACTCATAGTGATTGTGTCCACGAAGGTAAAAGCAGGTAAGAACCCAGGTGGTCTTTTTCACTTGGAACTTTGTCCTATCTTATCTCAGTGGGCTGCTGAATTTTTGTAAGGCAGCAACAGCTTTACCTCAAAGGTGGCCTAGGCTGGAAAATTGGCAGGCACTAAGTCACCTCCTTTCTGAGCTTTTCCTGATTCACTTATATTAAAAAAATAATGGGGGGGGGGATTCTCTTTACCGAAGTTTTAAGCTGCATCAAGAATAGCGCTTATTCATGCATATGCATACATTATTATACATTTTTGGAACTGAGGTAATCCTTGGAGAGCATTTTGTCTAACCTATTCCTGTCACAGAAACATTTTTATTTTCATTTTGCAACTGGAGTTTCCTTGTCCTGGGAACATAAGTTAGAACAATTATCCACACGGTTATGAATGGGGATCAGGCAGTCAATTCACCACTTAATTGTAATCTTATGAACTACTTACTGTATTTACTAAAAGGAAATAGGAGAATAAACTTCCCATCAATCATCTCGTTCAAGTTTTAGAGCTTCTATGCTAAATATTTTATTGATGTTTAAAAATAATTAATATGAATGTATAGAAAAATCCTGGGTATTTTTTCACATAGTGTCATCTTCAGCAAGTTGCTTAAGTTATTTAGTTTTTTAACCTATAGGATGAATATAATAATTTCTGCACCTCTAGGGGCAGATAGTACCAAGCAGCATGTGTGACACAAATAGTAAGCACTCAACAAGTTTTTGTTACTGTTGTTGTTATTATAGTCTATTTCAAGGTGCACTTAGAGACGACCATGTCGATGAAATTACTGGGGCAAATTCCAACTATTCTATAGAAAATAGCATCAGTTGCTATTTTAAATGCATTTACTTTATTTTTTTTTTGCCTTAGGCATCAATCTATGTTTCATTAATATAGAACAAAATATTTCTTTTCTAAATCAATTAATTTGAGAAAGTTAAGGGCATGGTGTTGGGAAGGTTATGGGCACAAGTTCAGGTGGTTTTACTTGCAGATGTAGAAGCTTGTGAATTTCCCTTAGGGTTTGGCCTTTCTACTGTGATTTCATGTCATCGACTGAACTCGACAAGTGTCAGGCTGCATTCAAATGGCAGAATTGATTGTTGAAAGTGATTTAAGCCACCTGCTTCTCCTAGGAAACTGGTTGCTTGTTCAAATTTTGTCCTGTCCTTTCAAACTGATGTGAAATACCATTCATTGTGTAGGCACTAAGTTAAAAATGCTGGTATTGAAAGGGACAGTTGTATGTCATGCAAGTTCTACTTTCTTATGTTAATGTCCATGTTGCACAACTTCTATATATTCTCTTTGGTAACATACCTTTCTAAGTTTATATCCTACACAAAGGTATAACGATGCAGGTGGAGGACCTTAGAAAGTATAAGTGTGTGTGTTTGTGCATGTGTGTGTGTGTGAAAAAGAGAAAGAGAAACAGAGAGAGAGATTGAATGTGTTTATGGTGGAACAGTTACCCAATTGGCTAGGTTGGTAATAACTGGAAAAACTGAGCTTCAGAATATTGGAAGAAGTGAATTTTGATTTCTAAAATAACCTCTGAAAATGTAAGTCTTCAAGGGATGGGCAACGTCTACTTGGAATGCCTTTATATACTTAAAATTCAACCTCTTCAGCTTGTATTTCTGCACGGTGTGGATTAATTGATGGGAATAGATACCGAGGCTGGCTGTTATAGAAAATCTGCCAATCTGAATCCATGGGGCCCACTGAAATCCATGTGAATGGCAGCATCAGGATACCATTTTACAGCTCTCTTCATCCTCCTCCAACTGGACTATCCACACTGTCCCTGTCTTGACTCAAGTACCCATCATTTTTCCCACTAATTTCCTAAATGGTTTCCCTGCTTCCATTCAGTTATGTCTCACCACAGCCTTCCAAGTTTTATACCCCTAAACCTAAATGAGGCCACACTACTTTTCAGATGAAAGGTATTTTTTAAAAATCCTTTACCATGACCCATGGAGGACATTAGGATCTATGTTAAAGCTGTCTTTCTCTACAACCTCTTCTCCAAGACTCAGTCACCCCAGACCTCTCGTGGTCCCCAGAGGACTTACTCTTTCATGCCTCAACCCTGGGGTTCCTCTCCTTTCTCCCATCTGTGCAGTTTATAAAGTTTTTCATCTCATCAGACCCACCTCAAACGTCAAAGTCCTGGAGTCACATCACAATAGCACAGGCATAGTTAGCCCTTTGTGCTCTTGCAGAGCTGTTAATACCTTCCTTTCAGCTTTTTATGAGTTTGGTTACAATTATAGATATATATGTTGTTTTTCCCAGATTGTAAGAGCAGGTGCCTTTCCTTGCTCAGCCTGTTACACTCATTTACACTCAGCTTCCACAACGTTCAAATGGGGATAACATACTTACCTCCCATGACTGTTCTTGGATGTGATTGAGATAATATAGGCCAAGGGCTTGGCTCAGCTCCTGGCACTCTGTGAGTGCTCACTCAGTGCGAACTAGTATTACTGTCATTGTCACTGCCAGGAATGTAACGTGTATCCCCAGAGAGTAGCCTCATCTCTGTCACTCAAGAGTTACCCAGGAAGGAAGGAGGGAGGGAAGGAAGTGTTATGGATCACCACCATAGCACTGTGCCGGCTCCCCTAGCTTTGTTTTTATTTGATCCTATCTGCAACTCTGAGTGGATATTATTATCCCCTTTTCCACATGAAGAAGTAGAGGCTCATAGAGTTTCAGTAACTTTCTCAAAGTCACACAGCTAGTCCCCAAAACTGTGTTTAGGCCCAGTTCTGAGTGATTCCCACGTCGATGCTCTTTTCTGCTACAACAATGAATGACAGGGCATTGAGGGGTTTAAGAGCAGAGCAGCCCTGACCTTTGCTTGCCACTCAGAAATCATTTGTACAATACATTTAAGTCAAAGGAATAATGTGGACAACTGGGCTACAGAATGGAGCTGGGAAGTGAATGTAATGCAGTCTGCATTGTGAACACAGGTGATTTTAGTGACAAGTGCAATCATATTTGTTTAAACATGGTTCTTGATAAAGAAATATATGAAAATGTATTTAACACATAATTATTTTCAAGTATGTGCCAAGCACATTTTTAGGCCCTGAAACTACAGCACTAAACACAATTTCCAGTTTCTTATCATTCAGTGCGTTTTGTACAGAAGCATTTAAATAGTGAAGCCTTATGTTGCTCTCATAGATAGGGTATAATGAACCTCTGGTGAAGATACTTTACCATCTTCTTTCCCGTTATGACAGACGCCCTGTTGTTGTAATTCACTGTCTCCTATTCCTTTATGTGGTACAATTTATTTCGTTTATTTAACAAATAGGTATTTTCCAGCTAGTGCTAGTGTGGCTAAGTTGCAAGGTAGATTTCTACATCCTTTTGTGCTCTCATCACAAAGATGGGACAAAAAAGATCTTGTCCAAGGGCTAAGAGCACATTTCCTCTTGTTCAATGGATATGAAAGATGAATAGCTCTGTCCAAATCCTCAGTTGTTGATGTTGTTTGCAGGATTTTTTTTAAGAAACCTGAGTTGTTTAATGACAATGACATTTTTTTCCCAATGAAATAATTTGAGTTTATTTCAAGTGTTTATTGTATATATGCCTTATGCCTTTATATCCTTAGACCTGTTATAGAAAATTTTGTCTCCATCTGAATTCCTTGTTACGTTTTAAATACTTGGGTCTGATATGTCACAACTCAGTGAATAGGTTTATTAATAATCACCTACATCAGTTTAGTATTACGTTAGGAAGTAAAAGGTCAGTAAGTAGTTGTTAGCCAACCATTTCATCAGTGGGATCTTCTCCAAAGATTTGAGTCATTTTTCACTGCATATAGAGTCACTTGAGATATAAAAAGTCTTTTTGTAGTAATGAAAGAACTCCCACAATTAGCCAGGAGGCAGCCATCTATCTTTTTAAATAGCTCAGCTTGGAGAGCAGGATATCAGGTGATATTCAGTAGATGAATTATTATGACAAAGATAAAGTTGGTGACACAAATCTGTGTTTTTTGCTTGTAGGGATATGTGTGTGTATGTGTGCATGTGCACACAGAGAAAAAAAGACATTCATAGTACAGTAAGAATTTGTTTTTCTAGGGATATGCAACAGAAACAAACTCTACAGGAAGCTATTCATCTATCAATTCCTTATAATTATTTGTGAACTCTAAATGATTACAGCATGAATCTATTTTTAACTAATAATAAATATAACAATATTATGAAACTTTTTTTTCAGTTTCAGACATCAAAAAATTATGAGAATAAAAAATAATGATTTTAAGTTCCAAGAATAGTATAAAAATTCTCAAATATAATTCACCTAGGCTCCCCAAATTTTAAGATTAATTAACAGTTTACATTTGCTTAGGTTCTCAATCTCTCTCTCTCTCTCTCTTATCAAGTCATAAATGTTAACATCACCAGTAATAGACAAATAAACATTACATGCCTCCTGATAAGATAGGCTGAAAAGGACACACCACCACTTCTGGACATTCCTGCTCAAAATACATAAATATATAACCTGAGTCTAATCAAGACAAATATTAGACAAACCCAAATGGAGGGATTGTCATAGTTTGCTTTCTGCTGCTGTAACAGAATACCACATACTGGGCAATTTATAATTTTAAAAAATGTGTTTCTCACAGTTCTTGAGGGTGCTAAGTTCAATATCAAGGTGCCAGCATCTGGCAAAGGCCTTCTTTCTGTGTCATAACATGGTGGAAGGCACCACATGGCAAGAGAGGATGCCAGAGAGCAAAAGGTTTGGGAAGGAGAGTAAACACATTGTTTTATCAGGAACCCACTCATGTGATAATAGCATTAATCCATCCGTCAGTGCAGAGCTTTTATAAACTAATCACCTCTGAACGTTTTCATATCTCAACACTGTTGCATTGGGGATTAAGTTTCTAACGTGTGAACTTTGAGGGACACATTCAAACCATAGCAGGGATATTCTACAAAATACCTGTACACATCAAACAACTATATAAATACTTTAAATTTGTTCTATGATCTCAATAAAAGTTATATTTTAAAATCTCCCTTAAAAATGTGTAAATTTGCTAAATCTGACAAACTCATAATCTCATTTTAGATGCAACTACTTTTGATAGTAAAGTTAATTTGCAAAGATAACAAATTTTAGTTCTTGCCACATTTTTGTTAAAGTCAGAAGAGTTTCATGCTTAGGGTCCCAGAAGAAAACAAATAGCATAATCAAAGCGTTTAATTGAAGAAAGTTTAATGATGGAAAAACTTACAAACGCATGAGCAGAGTTAACATAAAGAACCTAGGGAATAGCAAGAGAGAGAGAGAGACGTTCTTACTACCTGTAGACCTGGAGAGTGAAGGTGAGTCAGGATTGTGAGCAGAGCCAAGCAAGAGCTAGAGTCTTGGGGACTGGATAAAGACCTGTAATACTCTCTAACCATTGGCTTAACCAAACAAAAAAACAGTAGAGATCCTGGGTGAGGCAGGGGTGCCAAGACAGAGAGCTGGGTAAAAAGAGCAGATTGTGGATCTGAAAGACAAACCAAAGACATCCAACTCATGTGCCAAAAAGCAGAAACTTCCATTTCTTTCATTAAGGTGAGGGGAAATAAACTTATTTATAAAGAGGTTAATAAAACTATGTCGTGTGCATTTTAGTTTGTTTTCCTCAGTAAGAATCAGAACATACCATAACACGTTTCTTAATTATAGGAATAATTCATATAAATATGCACTCTTCAAAGGTGTTAAATGCTTTGATGGGAAAGCTTAAAAGAGAAGTGTGACAGTGGGAACAAGGAAAGGAAGAGAAAATACAGAAGGAGGGATACAAAAAAAGCAAGACAAGGAAAAGATAATGAAAGGAAAAAGCAGTTGCAACAGATACATCCTCAAGATTACCTATAACCAAAATTATTCATTGGTTCAGGAACAGTTTGGATAAGTTCACAAATAATGGATCCATAACCTCTTCATACGAAAAATTAAAAATGAGTCCTGCTTGCATTTGAGAATGCCTTACCATCAAAGTGCTCTGTAGAAGGGATCAGAAGCAACATACTGGACTATTGTGACCTCAGTGTCACAATCTATTAACTAAATGTAATAATAGGCTTTTCAAATATCTCATTGGGGTGCTGGGAGTCCTCAATTCAATACTGTTACATACGTAAGCATTTCCAAGGCATTCAATTATCTTAGGTTGCAAATGGGTGTTATGTTAAATCAGATTGGTAGAGGCAAATCCCAAAATGTCACAAGTAATAGGTTAGGCAACAGTCTTTATTAAGGAAACACACAAGTCAGGAATCAGCAATACACAGTCAAGCAAGGGACCAGAAACTGTGGGCATGTGGTGGGTCTGTATTTCAACAGAGGGATCCCACCCTATTGTTGCTCTCTCTTATAGGGAACATTGTCAGTAAGGGAACAGACTACTGGAGGTTCAGGCTGCCTGGGTTAGATATCACTTATTTTCATTTGTCTGAGAAAGCCAGCTGCCTGGCAAAGTCCCTGGGGATTTTGGAGCTAAGGGAAGCTGCAACACCCTATACCCAGGGAAATGAAGCTCCCAGTCTCTTGTTGTCCAGACAGACAAGCAGAAGAAGCCCCAGGATCACTTTAGGATAAGTCTGCTTATTGTGTCACATGGAATAATCACCATATTCTCTTCCAAAAATCCAATTATAGCACTGTCCAAAGCGGAACACTGGACTAAATGGACTTTGGGGTTGATGCAATCTAACATTTCCTATGTACTTAGGTTCTGAAATTATATGAAGAACACAAACCTACATATCAGTGATTGTTTTGTTCATTGATAACCTTTTTTTTAAAGGTCGAAGTTAATTTTAGTCAGGTTTCCTTCATACAATTTTGCAGATTCCTATTATGTGACTTCTTTTTATTATAAATATGTTTTACACTGTGCTATATTCCATTAATATAACAATGTTCAAATAGAGTCAATCATACCAAAGTTTAGGGAAAAAAAAGCAGTGAGCTGAAATTTCTTAAAATTAATTTGAAGATTGTATATGACAAGTGTTTTGATGAATATAGGGTTCAGATTATCTGAAATTCCTTCTCTACCAAACATTTCAGCAGCAATTTAAATATTGTTTCTTCCTTCTGTAAAATGTTACTAGATTGTGCTTTGGCAACACCTCCCTAATTATCAAATAGAGAATTGACTCTGCGTCACTTAGGGACTTCAGTCAAAATTAATTCCACAGTTACTAGTGAGGGTGGGAGATCTTGTAGACTAACCAGGTACAGGATCATGTCCAACCAGAATTATAATACACAAGTATTTTATACTTATCCTCAATTTCAAATTCGGTTATATCAATTGTCCATAATCCTTGGAATTCTATGCTTCTTTTATGGCGCCTTCTTAAATTTATTCTCCCTTGAAAGCCATAGGTGCTTAGAAGCCCTTATTTCTCATAAGAGGCATGGAGATTTGGAAACCCTCATCATTCTCAAACAGCTGACTCTAGAAATGGCTTCTCACTAGAGTGACTGAGTTATTCATGCACTTGTTAGCACTTCAAAAGAAAATCAAAAAAGGCTGTTTGTTTTCTGATATCCAAGAAAATTTTGCATGTGGTTGGATTTGGAGGAATAATCAAAGGGGAACAGCTCAAATCCAAGCTGAGGCCACTAGGCACTCTGGGGAAGTTATTGAAGAGTGGCCCAGATTTTGCAGTATATCCAAAAGGGTAGATGATTCATTAAACAGAAGCTTCATCAAATATTACCATGATATGGTTTACATATGAAAAGCCCTCTTCTTTACCTAACATTCGCAAGTTGCTTATGGATTCATTAGCCCATCTGCCATAAGAAATGTATTCGCACATTTTTTACATTGATCACTGAAAAGTGATTGCTTTTTCTTTATCCACTTAAGATTATGCTATCAATATAATGGGAAATAATAACTTTTTAGAAACAGGATAATTATTTTTGTATCTAAAAATTTACATGTGTTTATTACAAGCCATCACTTGAATATATAATCTTTAAGGATATTTGTCTGTGCTGATCTGAATTGATAAGTGCAGGGATGAGGCGAAGACCTTCTCAGAAAATGGTTTCCTATGATCAATTTTTCTTCTAGTTTCCTATCATCCATTTACTTGTTAATTCATTTGAATATATACCTTATAACTGCTTCAAGTTTCATATGATTAAGAATGATTAAGACTACCCTCTCCACTTTTTTTCTAATCCTACATTTAGTTTGTCTCGGGACAACCACATGTCACTGTTTATCCTAGAATTTCTCTCATTGGCATCATCCTTTCTTCTTTTTTTGCTGTTGCCAATTCTGATAACCTCTCGTTGCATAATGTGTCTGCTTTTTCATTTATCTCAAGTCCAGTGGCTAAATTATCATTTCAGAATCCAATCGTCCCACCCTGGGACTACTAGCCTCTTATCGAATATCAATGGCACAAACCTTTTCAGTTGTACACTAGTTGCCCGGTTACAATGGAAACAAATCAGTCTGAGCCACAGCTATCGAAACGCCAGAAGTTATGGCAATAGAGGAAATTATTGCATATACTACTCCTGTTTATTATGACACCCTATCCTCTCAATCATTCGATATAACAACCGTTTTGGAAAAAGGCTCTTTTCCTATGGTATGCTTAAATCAAATTGCTCTTTCTTAAAATCCTTCTGCATGCAAACTCAAACCCCATAACACATGGGTATTTTTTTCAGTAATCAAGTTACCTTGCACCCTCTTCCCTCAGTTTTGCTCCTAACCATATTCATATTTTCTCCTGAAAATCAACTCATCTGTATTCCTCTAGCAAAAGATCTTCCCACCTTTTACTGGACACCCAGAAATATTGGGTATCTACCCTTAACTACCTATTTTAAATGGGACTCCTTTAATGGATAGTTTCTTCACCTTTAGTCTCATCTCACAAAACAATTAAAAACTATATGTCATCCGTACAAGACTAAATTTAAGATTGAGACAAAGGAGTAAGAGGGAAGAGGAAAAAAGGGAAGGTGGGATGGAGGGACAGAATATAGTGGTAAAGAAATAGAATAATAAGTAAGGATATGGCAATATGAAACACCAAATATCTGTTATTGGTTTAAAAACTAATCACTTGAAAAAAAAGGAAGTTTTGCTGTTGTTAACAAACTTCTCCTAGAGGGTTAACTGTAGATATTCTTCCCATATAATTCTTCTCTCTAGCTGCAACTGATGATAACTGAGCAGAGCAATTGCCAGAAAATCCCAATTAAGCTCTTCTTTTCTTTTCTTGGGAAAGGCATAATATATAAAATGGTGACCTTTTGATGGGCTAACAGTATGTTGATGAACTTCAAGTGAAGTGAAAAAAAAATGTGTTTAGGATCATCAATGCTTGCATTTTCTAAGGGATCATGTGTAGCAGTAGAGCATTTAAAGGTCATAGACTTCTTTACTTTGAGAGATATTAAATAGCTTATGAAAATAGAGGTCAGCTGCATGATAACTGGAAGAAAAGAGCATTCCCCAATAGGCAAGTAAGATCTTGAGATTACACTGACTGTCCTTTTTTTAAGATTGTATTTGATTGTTCTTAGAGAAAAGAATGAAATTTGCATATAAATTTCATGATAATAAATAAATGAATGTATAGGTCATATAATAAATAGCCATTGATCTTGACATATGAACGCTAATATTGTTTGCACATACTAAGCATTACAATAATGATTTCACAGCCTCAAATACTTTTCAATGATTTTTATATTTCCTCAGAAAAAACTATACTCTTCTGGATTTTGCAAAAACAATCCTACTTAGCTTATAGTAACACAGATAAATAATCATTATCAGTAGGAATCTCACTTTTTAAAAATCTCTGTTGCTTCGAAGATCACTGAAGCAAATAAACATTCAGAACACCAGGACTAGATTAACATGTAAGGCTGAGGAAAAATGAGCCTTGCCTTGTCTTGGGGAAAAAATAGGTGAATGGCATTTATCTGTCTACTACCTATTGAAACACTTTGTGCATTAGTAGAATTTAATGTACAACTGGAAGAAACCGTGGTCACGAGTTTTTCACTTTACCTTCAGATATTGGATAAAGTTGCCTCAAAAAAATGGTCTTATTTCACTCTACCACTATTAGGGATTCCTCTTGATGCAAGGCTTATAAGAAAAGATAACATGTTGACACAGTTCCAGTAGATATATTGAATAGTTGATAAGGCCAGGAGTGGTGGCTCATGCCTGCAATCCCAGCACTTTGGGAGGCTGAGGCGGGTAGATCACGAGGTTAGGAGTTAGAGACCATCCTGGCCAACATAGTGAAACCCCGTCTCTACTAAAAATACAAAAGTTAGCCTGGCATGGTGGCATGCGCCTGTTACCCCAGCTACTTGGGTGGCTGAGGCAGGAGAATCATTGAACCTGGGAGGCGGAGGTTATGGTGAGCTGAGATCACGCCACTGTACTCCAGCCTGGGCAACAGAGCAAGACTCCATCTCAAAAAATAAAAAATAAAAATAAATAAATAAATAGTTGATAACAGACTGTGTGACTGAGATTTCTTTTCAGAGAGGGAAGGGTGTGGGTTCCTGCAGGAACAGATCTTCACTAAACTCAGGGTACATCCTGAAGCAGGAAGGCTGAGGACAAAAGAGCAATTTTTACCTACTGCATCAATTCTCACAGAGCAGTCTTACCTACCACTTGATTATCTTCCACAATCTGGAATGTATAAATACTGACCACAATATGAAACATATGGGATGATATTATTCAATGAAAGGGGCTAGATTTTATGTTGTGCTTTTTCGTTCTGGGATTTCTTATATCATCTGCTGTCTACATGTCCTCAGGGGAGACAGTAGTGGCCCCGGCCTGAGCACCTGTCATACAGCAGAAGCTAAAGGAATGAGTGTGATCATGTCCATAGGTGTCTCATGTCCACATATCCTCATGTGCCCCAAGTCAGATATTCCAAGGTGTATCAATGAAAACTCAGTGATAATTTTTCAAGTTTAGTTCATGAAAAAAAGAATCAGACAGAGAATGCATAGATTAGTGAATGTGTTCACACTGGTAAACACCCAGTCAGATCTCCACCTGGGGTTTCTTACTAGTGATTCAAGAGCAAGAACTGAATTGGGACATATTTTGCTGGTGAAGAAGCTTAATTGCTCATTTTTTGAAGGCACATTAACTCTTTCAGGGTCCACTGAGTAAATTAGCTCCTCCAGGTCATTAAGCCTGCCTCTACATGACATGATGATTTCTACCTGGCATTGTATCATTTACCCCAAAACGCCCCACACTTGCTCTGAGCACACACATATTCCTTGTCTACTCAGGGAGAGAGAATGTGCCCATTCGAATGTCAGCAGTTTCTCTACAGCTGCAACTCAGTGACTTCTTTTGCTTCTTTTTTAGGCACCCAGGGATCTCTAAGGGTTTGCTGGTGCGTAACAGTTATCAGTGCCTCACCAACAGGCGGGTGGCTTAGTTAGCTGTCTAGAGATGGTATAGTTTCAGGGATATTGGGCACAGTATTGTGCCACCAGATAGCTCTTCACATCTGCAAAAACCAGCATTATCGATTCATCTGGGGCGAGAGTCATAAAGCTCTTTCAGGATTCTAGAGTCCTTTATTAAAACACAACTTCCGCTAAAAGGCTGTGTTATCAGGACTCATTTTAGGGGAATAAATTGACAAATATTTGAGAGTGGTCTGTTTTGCCTCCCACAAGTTTGCTAGGGAAAATGTGTAGGTGTTTTGGGAACCACAGAGGTTGGGAAACATTCCTGGCCCTTGGTAAGCTGGCATAGGAGAGTCCCACAAAAAGAATAATTTTTCTCTCCCAAATGCCAATGGTTTCTGCCCCTGTTGAAAAGCAATGACTGAGGACAAAGGGAGACTTCACCTCTTTCTCTGTAATGTCCAGGGCTACCTTGGAGAGTCATGAATTGGTAGAAATTAAAACAAGTGAGTATCTAGAGGGACATAATATACCCATTCAGAGGAATTTTAGAGCATTGCTTCTTTCAGTGAATATAAATATAAAGCCGGAATCTTGTGAGTATGCCAATTCTGATTCAGTGGGTCCAGGGTGGTGCCAGGGATTCTGTATTTCTAATAATCTTTCATGTGATGCTGATGCTGCTAGTTCACAGACCACACTTCAAACAGTGAGGATTTAGGATAAAATGCACATGGGCAATAACATGGTCTTGGATTAAAACATTATGAATATGGAGGAAATTTGACAATATCTTAAAAAATTAAATTTTAGGCAAGTAAGACCTTGATTAAATATTGAAAATCTCACCGAGAGATTGATAGATCATGAAAAAGTAGGATATACTTAACATTTCTAACTATCTGAAGACTTCGGTGACCCTTTTCTGAAGCAGATGTGTTACTTAAATTTTTAAATCTTTGCTAATAGTTCTGCTGTTTTACTAGTTAACCAACTCCAGATACTTTATAAAGATACAGAAGTAATTGTTGTTGTAATCTCAGGTACTTCATCATGTTGGTAAAGACTTCAGTAAATATTAATATCTGATTAAATATTCCATTACAAAATTCATATCAGGGCTGGTTGAAACCTTTCTCTCTGTCTTTTATTAATCTATCATGACAGCCTCTCTGATCTTTCCTCTGAGATGAACAATGTCCTTATATGTTTGTAGGTCAATGGGAAGGATCTTTCAAAGGCCACTCATGAAGAGGCAGTGGAAGCTTTTCGCAATGCCAAGGAGCCCATTGTGGTGCAGGTGTTAAGGCGAACACCTCTTAGTAGACCAGCCTATGGGATGGCTTCAGAAGTGCAGCTTATGAATGCCAGCACTCAGACGGACATCACCTTCGAACACATCATGGCTCTGGCCAAGCTTCGTCCACCTACCCCTCCAGTGCCAGACATCTGTCCATTCCTGCTCTCAGACAGGTATTTTTCTATCATTTCTTCCAAAGCCCTGTTTGTTTCCATTTGTCACGTAAAGCAGATGTTGAAAAGAAGCAGTTCCACTAGCAGGTTGACAGTTATGGAGACAGGCTTCCCAGCTCCGTTTGGAAAATGTCTCCCCTGTTTTGATATGTGCAATTAGTTCTCAGTGGTCCCTGCTAGCTACTCTCCCTGACCCACATGGTTGCTCCACCTGGGTAATCATACTTGCT
This sequence comes from Homo sapiens, assembly GCF_000001405.40. Lineage (NCBI taxonomy): Eukaryota > Metazoa > Chordata > Mammalia > Primates > Hominidae > Homo > Homo sapiens. The sequence continues at coordinate 41,506,943 of NC_000012.12, forward strand.
AGCTGCTGTGAAAAATTCTGGCTCTGATTAGTTCATCTTCATATTACTAGCTGTCAAAAGCCTCATGCTACTCATGAACACTGGTCAGGGAAATCACTTTTCTCACCAAAGCTGCCAAAAACCTTATTAAGACTCATGTGGAAGTGGCATCTTGGCACCACATTCTCCTCTGTGGGCCACCTCTCTCTCTTCCTTGCATTTCTCTTCTTTAAAGAGAAGCTAGGAAATTGATTTAATTAAAGTGCAATTCTCTGACGAAAGCACTTACCCAATATATTGAGATATAAACAAAGGATCTTGGCTGTCAGAGAGTAAGTATAGTGCTATCAAATAAAGATCTATTCAAGGAATACTTCCTCCTGATTTTTGCCTAATTTAAAGGAAGTCAGAGAGATTTTATTCAAATAATCCTACTTGAACAGTTTTAAAAGTATGCTTGCCCAATTCATTGTGTTCTGTGAGCTTTCGAGCAAATATTCAAACATTGAGAGTTTGTAAGAGCAATAGTCTCCTTAGCCTGCATTTTCATCACCTACTCCAATCCGCTCTCTACTTCATAAAACAAAGATCTGAGTCATGCCACTTTCCTGCCCTTTGATGGCTGGCTCCCATAAGCCCGTTTCAGTGGGTCACAGATGTACAATAGAATCACCTGGGAACTTTCAGAAGCTGTATCAGTACCTGAATCACTCCTTAGGCCAATTAAATGAGAATTCTTAGAGTAAGGCTTAGGCATCAGAAATTTTCAAAAGTCTCCCTAGGCAATCCTAATGTGCAGCCAAGTTTTGAAAACACTTCTTGAGACTTCGAGTTCCAGGAAGGCAGGGGATCTGTTTGTCTTGGGTATCTCTTTATTTTAAATAGCCCTTTGTATCAGACACAAATTGGATGTGTCAGGGCTTGCAACTAGATGCTTGGCATAAAACTATGAACAAAAATAAAGTCACTGCCTTCTAGAGTTTATATTCTACAAGGGGAGTTGAACAAAAAGCAAGGAAACAAATATATAATATTCATTAATACAGCCTAAAACATAGTAGCCATCCAACAAATACTTCCTTGAATGAATAATAATAGCTAGCTTGTATTAGCTAACTTAACATGCTTTCAGTATTATTCCAAACGTTTTGCATTTATTGACTCATTTAGTTCTCACAATAATCTTAGGAGGGAGTACATTATATTATCAACATTCTATGTCTAAGATGAGGGAACAGATATTAAGTAACATGGCCAAGATCACATAGCAAAAAAGTGACAGGGCCAGGCTTCTAGGCCTAAGAGGTCTGACCCCAATGCCTACCCCCTTAGCCAGTGCATCTTGCTGCTCTTCCTAGGTCCTGCAGACCTTAGCTTAGAGACAACCTCCTCTAGAAAACTTCCTAGGGCTGCAGTGGGTCCACCCCTACCATGTGCTCCCAAGGCTCCTGTATTTTTCCCTTAATTATTGCACTGTATTAAAATTCCCACTTTGCTGCTTTCCCCAATTAATAGGGCAGAATTGGATTTTGTAAACCAACATATTTCCAGCACTTGGCCTTGCATCTGGCAGCCACTAAATAAACGTCGAATGAATAAAGTGTTCCTCACAGCAGGGCTCCCTTCTTACTATCCGAAAGACAAGGGAAACACATCAGATGTCCAAAGCAGCAGGCTTCGATATTCCAAGAGCCCAAAAGGGCTATGCGGACCCAGTCCAGCTATAAGCAAGGAGATTTATCTGGTAGACACAAGGCAAGGTGCTGCCTGTATTACTTTTACCATTTTGGCCTACACTAGTTAGACCTGTGTGGAGCTGACAGCCATAGATAGTAGTGAGGAGAGGCTGGTAGAATATTTACGCTGACTATAGTATGAGGGCATGAGGATGGGTCTCTTGCCTTTCAACAAGGGAGAAGGGAACTAATTGATACTGCTATCTCCAATTTTTCAAAAAGATCCACACTGGCAGGAGTTAGAGGTCTCATCTGCAACCAACTTGTCAATTGTATTTAGGCTTTTTCAGTGTCTTTTAGAAATAGAAAAGGCCTTATGCTCTTTGCTGTTAAACTATGCTTAGTCTTCATATGGTATGATGTGTAGTCTTTATATCAGAACATACTAAATCGAATAACATGTTTACAAACTATTTAAAAATTTCCTAAAAGTTGAAATACATAAAAGCCATATCCTCTCATTTCCTTAATGTAATCTGCTCTCTCTGTCACTGAGAATTTTCTAAAGGTATTTTGAAACCTTGTGGCTTATAGGAGTTTCCACTGATTGATCGCCATGAATGTTCTTTAATATTTGTGTATATGTCCTTGATCAAAGAGGGGAAAATGTGCATTATGAGGGAGAGTGAGAAAGGGGGATCTTAAGAAAGAGAGGAGGGGACAATGTGAGCACATTTTAGAGTCTGAAAAAATAAGTGCTTTTGAAAATGGTTTTCAAAAAATAGTTTGCAGCTGTGGATTATGAAATTGGTAGTACTTTATGACAAAATACCCCTCTTTGAGTAGACTGCAATCTCAAATGCCACACACCCACGTATGGAGCTTGTCACATTCAGTGGAATGGAAGCAGGCCAGAAAGTATCAATAAAGCACCACGGACTGTCAGAGATTTCACATCAGTCTTTCCACAGAATACAACTCTGACCATAGGCCCTTATTCCTAGCATTCTCTCAGAAATTGCAAATTGATGGACTTCACGTAGAGGGAGAAAGAAAAGCTATTGCTTTTCCTCAGCTGTAGTTTGTTTAAAGACTAGATCACTACAGATCTTATTCCAAAGCAGAGCAAACTAAAGTGAAATTCTAAAATCAGTTTTAATCTGGAAAACAACCCATTTAATCTATTCCTATCATATTGCTACATTCCCCATAGCTGCCATTCTCTACATCCAATGGAGCATGAATTTTATGAGGACAATGAGTATATTTCCAGCTTGCCTGCTGATGCAGACAGAACAGAAGACTTTGAATATGAGGTAAGGTCATTTTCATACCACTTCACATTTCTTCATGAAGTTACGGTTGAGGGGTTTTGTATAACAAAGAAATTAATTTATTACAGTGAGAAATGTCTTGTCTATTACATATCCAGTGTAAGATCTTTCAAATACTATTTGCTTTAGCTATGTGGCTCTCGTGTTTTAAGTATATTGGAAAATATTTTTATAGTATAAGCTTAAATATAATTTGCTCTCATTTTGTTGCTTTTTAATAAATAATATTGCAACAGCTACATTTTTAAAATCTGTTCTATAATATATGTGGATTTCCAAGTGGAGTTTGAAAAATATATTTAAAACAAAGATTGTGTTTACTATTTTCATTTGTTGTATAATATTCTAATTTTCATTGATAAACTAAATTTTATTATATTGTATTCTTTGGAAATGCAATACTCTCTTTGTGCCTCTGGTCTGTACTCTAAAGAGCCATTTCACAGACTTCCTAGAAATAGAGATGGCCTCATGCCCTTTGTTGTTAAACTATATTTATTCTTCACATGGTTTAATGTCAGAATATCTGTACTGTGATATATAACAATTCGAAAAGTCCATCCATTGATTATTTAAAAGCTCTCACAAAAGTTAAAGAATGTATCCTAATATTTCCTCTGCTTCTGCAGCCTGAATATCTTTGAAAGGTTTCAGACTACTCTGACATTTAAAAATAAAATAGATTGAGGAAGTAAAGAAGCTTTGGTAAACAGGCAGAGAACCCATGGTCACCTGCCCTTTTAATGCTTCAGGTGATGTCATACAAGTTCAGCAAAGTGTTCTCTTCCACTTTACAACCAGGAAATCCTGAAATCTCTTCCCTTAGGAGGATCTGAAATCAAATAAGGAAGCTCATCTAAAGCAAATGGACGTTTGTTTGAAATCTTCTCCCCACAAAAGTCATTCCTGGGGATTACAGAAATCATTATTTCTTTGCAGCCAAAATTTAGAAGGATGTGAAATGACAACTGGTAACTGAGTAGATGGTTTTTGTCATTCTTGTGTTGTTCATGTTAAATTTTTACCTCCTCTTTATTAAGTTGATTGAAAAGTTTTATTTTCTAAATCTACTCAAGCACTGACATGCATTACAATATCCATTGCTTTGTCTATTCATGTAAAATAAATTATAAAATTGAATGACTTATCCAAATAATTCAAGATTCTTATGTTTTCCTTTTGGTTAATGAATACTTTCAGTTTGGGGACTGGAATTATGTAGATCACTTCAACTTTTTATTTGGATGCCTTAAAGCTTTATTAAAATAAGTCAGTGTGCTCGGGGAGGGCATAGGGGAAGATTGTTTAGGCTAAGCAAGTTAACAGTAAAAGCCCTTTAAATGAATCAGCATGTCATTGAAATATTACAATACAGACAGATTTCCTTACATTTCTATGGAGCTTACTGTAACTGAACCACAACCTCTTTTTTGACCAATATTAATCCCCAGCAGAAGCCAGCATCAGGATGATGTCAGTGGTGAATTCTCAGACAAGCTCTCTGTAGCCTGTAATCTCAACTAATCACAGCATCATAGTCATTAATTTGCTGTCAGCTGTGATTCCGTTGCCAAAGGCTCCTTTCTGAGTGATTGAAATAAAGAATGTTCCTGTGAAATTCAAATAAGGAAGGAGTTGCTATGACAGTTTTCAATCATTAGAAAGGATGCATTTGAGAACAACATGCATGGTTAAAGGTGGGAGTGGAGGCATGGGAGAATACCTCCAGAGAAATTTACCAGATTCAAGAGAGAATAATGGTTCTGCCCAGTACTCCTCAGTCTGTTATCATTATGTGACACACACATAGAGTGGCACATGCCATCCCTTGTGGCTGCATCAAACTGCAAAATCTAGTCAGTCCACTGCCATCATTGGAGCCTGTGGTGGACACCATTAGGCTCATTCAGTGAAGAGATTTAGAAATGCTAATTCTGTCTATGTGTTGCACTTTTACTGTTACACCTAGAAGCAGACTGATCTGGTGTTTCTGTGACCAGCTGAGATGACCCTAGCTCCTCTAGGAGCTTCCTTATAACCCTATAGCTCTAGGAGCGGGATGGATGAGCACCTTAAGGAAGTACCAGTTTTGTGCCACTGAGAGAATATCACAGGAAAGTGAGGTTTAATGGCCAAGAAGACTTCAGCTCAGAAAGAGATATGCATTCCTCTTCAACCTAAACATGAGCACAACCAGGCAATCAAGGAAGTAGAAAGAAGACTCCTTTTTCATCTGCTTTCATTCATTTGTACCATAAATATTTAATGAGGACTTAAAATGTACCAGGCAGTTATCTATGCATGGGATTAGGAAGCTCCTGCCCCAGTGGAAGGAGCTTCTAGGAGAGGGAGGTCAACAATAAACATAAAAGTAAAGACATATTCTTTTCAATGGTGAGAAGTACTAATGGAAAATAATAAGAGTGGTGTTGGACAGGATGTTGCTGTCTTATACAGAGTGGTAATGCAAGACTTCTCTCATAAGAGAACTAAAGAATATAAGAGATCTAGCCATGTGAAAGGAGATTTTCAGAAAGAAGGAAGGGCAGGGGCAAAGGACCTGAAGCAGAAGCATGCTGGGGTGTACAAGGAGTAGCAAAGAGACCAGTGAGAGAGTGGAAGGGGTGAATTCAGAGAAAGGAGGGTGTGTTTTGTGGAGCCTTTGGCTTTGACCATGATATAGGAAGTTGCTTTGACTCTGAGATGGGAAGTTGCTGGAACATAGGAAAGCCATAACAGGATTACTCCAGCTGCTGGTCTGAGACTGACAGGAAGGAAGCAAAGTCAGCTGAGAGGGAGTGGGGTATTGGACCTGGGCGGTGATAGCGGGTGGAGTATGTATGACATAATCTAGGACAGCATCCACCCCAGCCTGGAGGGCTGTGCCTCAGAGCTTCAATATAGTTTGTGCTATGGCAATTTTCTTCTGACATTTTAATGGCAAAATATTACAGGTTAGAGTGAAGCACACCTTTTGGCATCCACCAGAGCAAGAGCAATGCATCCACACTTTAAAAGAAATAGCTTCTAGTATATAGACTGCATTTCTGAACTTGCTAAAATACAAACTATGCGGCTATTTAGGTGCCTTTTTAAAGACCTACTTACTATTAACTCAGTGAACCAAAGCTGATCTGTGTATCTCGTGAGTACTTATATACAGACTTAGTGCATGGATTATTAACCCAATAGACCAAAACAGATCTGACTATCTTGTAAATACATATTTAGGGACTTTTAACACACATATTATTTCACTGATGGACTGTAACAGGTCCCTTCAGAGCCACGGCAGACAAGCAAATGCTTCTTTGGAGATATTATACTCAGTGTCCATGTTATGGTGACTCTGGTGTGTTAGGAACCTCTATGAAAATTTAATGACACCCATATCTCACCATGACCTATCACCAATTTCCTAAGAAAAATATTTGACTGGGTTTAAAATTTCCACATTGTGCTTCAGAAAAGTCTCAGAGACCAGTCTACATTAAAAGACTCACAGCTTGAAACTTGTTCTCTTTAAAAAATGATGGCACTTGTTCTCTAATTAAAAATGATAAATGAGTTTAATTTTATTTTTGAGAAAAAATAAACATATACAAATTTAACAATGCACCCATCGTAAGAGTCAGGGTGTTCCATGCCACTGGAATTTCACTAAGGATTAAGCTTCTCCTCCTTTTAGTTTCAACTTTATTCATTTTTCCCCCTAGAGCCAGCTAAAGGTTGAAATAAATCATAAATAGCCCTTAGCAAGTAGAGGCAGATCTCAAATCCAACCTCTACTAGAAATAATTTAAAGGGAAAGGTTTTAAGAAACATAGAGATCTTTTTGCCCAACTCCTAATAAAGATATGTTTGCAACTGCCTGAGTGCAAGGAAGATGTTGAATTATCTACAGCATTTGCTGTTAACTCTCAAAAGTCAATGCTAATGCTGATAGAGGGGTCAGAAACCAATACACGAAAAATTTAGATAGTATAAAACATCATGTTAGTCAAGACAAGCAACAGTTCTGTGCCTGCAGATTTTTATCACTTAGAAATATCACTTGAAATCATTTTTACTTCTCCCTCAATGATCAGGCAAAGAAACATATACAAAAGGCTGAAATAAGTACCCTTTATGCGTCCAATATCATAAAAACGTAAGCCAAAAAAATTTAGAACTTTGCTTGAAGAGGTATTAAAAGTGGAAAAGAGAGGATAAATATATGTCAGAGTTCTATGTACATGTTAACCGAAAACCAAACTTGGACCAGTGTCTATAAATAGGAGTGAGCACTTAGCATATTAATTAGCTTCCTCTTGGCAGTCCTTATGCAAGGCATAAGTAAATCCTTGTGCTGTGCTGAGAAGTGTCATTTTGCAAAATGTATTTCCTGGAGCTAGATCCCTGCAAATATGTGCTGAATATTTGTGAGACTTTAAGTATATAATCTCTCTCTTACATAAAGAAAAGAGAATCATGAATCAGGGAAATTTTCATTCAAAAAATAACAAGAGGATAATTATTAACTACATTCTATCATATTTTTTGAGCAACTTCATGATTTGTGAAGCCAGTGTTGAAAAAAAAACAAGTCCCTAGCATGATGCATGTATAGAGCTATATGGATCTTAAGGCTCTGAGGGCAGCAGCTTTATCTGCCTTGCTTATCATTGTATCACATGGTCTGTTTCACAGTGGGTGCTCAACGCATATTTCATGAAGGAATAAATGAGGGTTCCCATTGGTGTCTGCATGGACCAACTTCTGAGCCACTCAGTCCCTTTCCTCTTTTCCATACAAAGGGAAGTGGAAAAGAACTTGGGACCACTGTCCAGTTATAACAAATGCCCTCTTGCTTTCCAGCAGGTATTTGTTCTTGGAGTCAGGAGTTTTAATCCTAATGCCATTTTTGTCTCAAACACTTGTAAGGAAAGGGCAAAGAGGGTGAAAAATAGGGAGACATAAGTAATGTAGTAGAAAGCTAATGGTCTCCATGAAAATTTATCTTTACTGGCCACCTTATAAAATCATAGAATCTCATATTTGGTATAAATTTGGCATGTTCTCTAACAAACACTTGTACCCCCTTTATTACTTGTTGAACAAGGGCTCAATCAGCATATGTGAGAAGCACTGCAACAGACAGGGAAATAAGCGCTTCCCCCACTAGCCAGCGGGGGCTGTCTCTGTCCATTCAGAGATGGCTCTGTCCATCTCTGATCTTGAGAGAGGCAAACCTATCAAAGAGTTTGAAAGCCAGTGATGGAAGAAACATGATGGGTATGAAACATAATTGATAAAGAGACCATATGTTATCTGTATGTTGAAGTAGATAAACGAGAAAATAGTGTATAGAGTATAAAAGAGTAGCATATTTAGATTTGTTTAACTCACTGAATGTCTTCCACTTAGTCCCTTTTCTTCCGCTTGTTAGTCACATTTTAGAATCATTAATGAAATAGCTAAAATAATTTTATATCACTTACTACTGGGGCAGTAAAATAATCCATTAAAAAAATCACCTTCATAAGTGCCGTTCCTTTGGGAAATTTACTGAATTGAAAACTGATCTGGATGAAGTGTGAAAATTTTTTATTACCTGAGCATTAAAGATAAGATGGTATTCTGTCAGTCTGGAGTTGGTTCACTGAGGAGCCTATTAATGTCACCACCATTTTCTCAAATATTTCAGATGAGAATCTTAGTCATGTAGGCCAAACCAATAAGTGATCATATATCGGAGCTAGTATTTCCAGATGCTCTGTGGCATGTTTCTCCTTATCACTGCTGCCTTCCCTTTGTTTCCAACAATGTTCTACCTTTAGGCTAGTTTTTGGTGTCTTGTAGCCAGTCCCTAGTCTTTGCAGGCTGTCCTATTCACCACTGCCAGATCAAACCTTCTCAAGTGTGACTCTCATTGGTTTACTCCTTTGTTTATCATCTTGTATGACTCTGTTCCTTGAATTAATTCTGAAATCCTCTGCCTGGCATTGAGGGTCCTTGGAACCCTCTCACCACCTCACCTTTCCAGCACCTTGGGGTCAAACTCCACAGCACAACAATACTCAGAGGAAGCTGTGTGCTTTCCTTTCTTTGTGCCTTTGCTCATGGGCTGCTGTGCCTCTGGAATGCTTTTCTGACAATCTCTGCTATCATTCAAAGACAAGAGTCAAGCATCACTCCATCAGAAGCATTCCATGATGTCCTCCTGCCATGTACCGCAATCTTTCCCACCACTGAACTCCCACACCGCATTCTGTAAATATTTTCTGTCGTTTAGATTATGCCCCAGGCTATAGTCATTTATGTACTTGTCTATTCTTCTAAATGGATAGTCTTTCATAATAGAAGTGACCACTTGTAATTATCTGCACATCACCAGGAGGGCCCAGCACATGCCCTGGCACACAGTGAGTCCTCAGTAGTATTTGTGTGATGAATGAATAAACATTGCTGCTACTATTCTTATTTTATAAGTCCCCAAAACAAGTACAAAGTGCTAAATTGGGGGAGAGGAGAAGAAGGCTGATGGAGAATAACAATTTGAAATAAAGTAAGAAAGTCTTTTTTCATAGGATATCAATTTGTCTAGTAATTAGAGGAAATGGATTTAAGTGTATACCTGAGCCAGTTTGTAAAGGAAGAAAATTGGGATTTTTATTGTTTCTATTTTACCAAGGAACATATGCGTGTTTTACCACAAATGCGTAAGCTGGTGAACCCTGGTAGATAGACATGCTAATTTATGTAGTTAAAGAATGACGGGGGTTCTGGTCTGTTAGGGTACCTATACATCCTGGTTTGCCCTAAACAGTCTTGATGTATGGCTCATTATGAATAGCAGCTTTTTTTTTTTTTACTTTCGAAAGTATCCTAGACAATACATTGTGTGGTTGTCCTGCTTTTATACTTATTGAACTTTAGTTGAGACAGATACTTCATAATCACATGTTGTATAATCCTAACATTCCAAGCAGAATTTCTTAAATTGAATACTTAAGTTTATTAAATTGCATGATTTCCCTAAATTGAGATTCCTTTTTATTTTCTTGTAAGTCTTGCATTGTGACTAGAAAGAAAAATGCCACAAAGTTGGCAACAGTTACCACAGTATTATAATTCTTTCCGATTTCTTACTGAACGAAACAAGATTAGTATTGCTATTAATTTGTTCATGTAATTTCATAAAACAAATAAGAAGCAAATCTGTCTTTTGCCTCACTGATTGTGACAACACTAAACCTTATTTCCTAAGAAAACAATGAAAAGTAAATTGAACCTTCCAAGTTGGTTATTAAACCAGGTAAGCATGGGCACATTTATTTTACCAGGGATCTAGATATAAAATAAAGATTCCTTATACTACATATATGACTTTTATCAAAATGCCGACATTCAATTTTTGTTTGAAGATACTTATGATACACATTCAGAGGATTTCCTTGCATTACTGAAAGGTGTCTGTGAAAGGTTGTGTTTAAGGTGCATATTTGCATATCAAATCATATTTTCCAGTGACTTCTATTCTGCTTTCAAAAACTGTTTTCATAGTGGCAGAAAAAGGAGAGCTGTCTTTTACAATATAAAGCAAAATTCATATTAAAGATTCTAATATTCTTTTCAGAGGCAATAAAATAGAGTGGAAGGAAACAGACTAGGAGTGTGGCCCCAGTTCTAGATCTGTCTCTTGAATGAATCATATTCCACCTGTGTGCTCCACAGAACAACCAGTGTTGGCTGTGGAGTGATTGGTCTGCATCTATTTCTAGAATGTAACTCATATAAGCAAAGTGAGACAAATTCATGGTCAAATCCTTAAAAACTTTTACGAGTATTCTAACAGTTTAAACATATCAACCCACATTTTTTTTTAGTTGTTACAGAGAAAGCCCACACACTCACATGGCCTCACACTGGTCTATGTGTAGTAACCATATATCTCAACTGGTATCAAGTAGCACACCTCTCCGTATTATCTCTGACTTTAGCTTTAGCATTCAGAGCAAGTTAGCTCATATACATTTACCAATTTGAAATGGAAGATGCAGTCTGTAAAAACTAGAAAATAAATTACTTTATTTACATATAATACATATTTGTTAATTTAAAAATACAGAAAATAATCCTAGTTTGAATTTTTTCTTCACTATATCACATTGTCTCTGAAATGAATGAGTGGAATCCTAAAGATGATGTGTTTTATATTAGGATTACAGTTCTCCTTCTCCTTCAAGGGCATAAGCTATTGATAATACTCTGGTTTCTGGTTACATATTGCATTTACCAATATTCACTGTCTATTAAATAATCCAGTTCAGTGTAACTGAATATAAATAAAAGAGAACCAGTAAATCCAATCTATGCATTTCAGATCCAAAATACAATTTTTAAATATGATGGAAATTGTACCACCTAAGATAACCACAGTTTATATTTTGTGTGTGTTTTCCTCTTCTATGTACACTGTATGAGTGCAATTTTGCCATTTTTGGGGGTTTCAGCAATTTTTCCAGATTTTATTTAAATCATTAAGAGCTATAATTAACTGCTTTATGCATAAGTCTTTGTCTGCATTTCAGAGTTATCTCCCTGAGAAAATTTTCCCAAAGTAAAATTATTGTATCAATGCACAAGAATAGTTTATAATACTTCAGATAAATATTTATTAAAAAATTGCTTTCCAAGAAAAGATGTATTAAATTATTCTTACAAGCAATATATGAGAGTAGTATCATTAGTATTAAGTGGGCGTATTTCCTTTATTATTATATAACCTTTATTTAAAGCACATTTTAAAAGGAGCATGGCTTGAGGCCAGGAGTTTGAGACCAGTCTGGCCTATGTAGTGAGACCCCGTATCTACAAAAAAAATAATTAACTGGGCATGGTGGCATGCATCTGTGGTCCCACCTAGTCAAGAGACTGAGGTGGGAGGATTATTGATCCCAGGAGTTAGAGGCTGTAGTGAGCTCTGATCACACCACTGTGCTCCAGCCTGGGTGACAAAGCAAGACCCCCAACTCTATATAAATAAATAAAAGGTGCTTGGAATAAATATCCAGTTTATGGAAATAATATAGTTTCATCAACATAGTAAATGGGCTTAACATTATAGTTAGTATGTAATGTATACCTACTTCCATGTCAACTGTATATTCAAATATAGGTCCATAAGCATAAGGTTGAAAAAAAACAGATAAGTTTTAAGAGATTTGAATTTTCAAAGTTGAAGGACATTTTAAATGAAATCAGGAAATGCCTCCTAAATTAAGCATGCTCTGCCCCAAATCTGCTTGTTCTTCTATGCTGTCCTGTTTAACAGCCTCATCAGCTGCACAATTCTAAGAGTTACTGTGTTCTGAGCATTTACGGTGTTGCTGGGCTCTCAACTACGTGCTTTAGAGATCACCTCTAATCCTTAAAACAAACTTGCTTTCTAGGTAAAGTGGCACAGACCAGAAAGCTGACAGCAGCCCTGATTCCTTCCTACTTCTCACCTCCAACATCCACAAAATGTTCTCAGTTGAGCCTGGTGCATCTTCACAGCCAGGCCCTATCCCCAATTCCTCTGAAGCAGTAGTCCCCTCACGTCTTCCTGATCTTAGTCTCTGCCACCTCCATCTCTTTCTTACTATGAATGATCGTGTCACTCCTCTGCTGAAAATTCTTCAGTGATTTTTTTTTTATTGCTTCTACCAATGCTCTTCAATGCCTTTTCATAGAGGAAAAATGAGGAACGTGAGGGGTCTTAGCCCACCAAGTCTGGGTGTAGGGCCTAAAGAACAATTTCATGCCAGTTTTGTGCTTCATTTTCTTTTGAAATTTGCGTTTTACCTCTTAGTAGATATATTGTGGTTTCCCCACACCCACTTTCACAAATTGATACTCCAGGAAGATGCAAAGTGCTTAAATTGTAGTTTTCTGGCTCCCCTGACATTCCAGTTTGGAAAACTCAGGCCTATATAATGAAATGTAAACTCCATAGCACATGAGGCACTTCCCCCCATCTGCCTCTCTGTGCTCACCTCCCACTAATCCAAGTGTGATGTGGGAACGCTGTGCTTCTGCACACACAAACTGCCTGCAGTTCCCCAGGGATGACGTTTTCTTGGTTTTTTGTTTTTGTTCTTGCTTTCCTCTGCCTAGAATATCCCCTCTTCTCTTCCTCCACACTGTTCTATACCATTGATTTCATGACGGAGGTAGAAATAAGAACACAAAAGCAAAAAAGTTTTTTTAACTCTTAAATATTTGACAAACAAAAGATATGGTTACAGTTTTTCACTTAAAGAAGTACTGAATTCTTCTTTAAAAATGCTTAGATTCTGGCCTCTGCCCTCTCTTCCATTTGCCTTATGTGCCATTATTGTTTTTTCTTACTTTGGGTTCCGCCAAAAGTCTCTAACCTTCTTCAATATGGCTGACCTTGTTTTATGCATCCCTCTCTTCCAAGTACTCTGCACATGGTAGAATGATTGAAGCAATGACTAAATCTTAAAGACACTTGCAGGCTAGCAAAGCTAAAGCATAAATCTCGAAAAGGATTTAGAACTGAGACTCTTTGGATATACCTCTCACTTTTTCAGAAAGTTGTTTTGTTCTTCAAATTAAATATGAGAGAAAATATGATCATATTTTTGTAGTTTAAATTTGAAATTATTATTTACTTTTCCAGTAAACATGCCTAAATACAGACACACACACACACACACACACACACACACACACACACACACACAGCCTCTAACTCAGCCGCATTATTGGCTGGTAGCATGTTTAAAGTGTGTTGATGGAGCAAATAAATCTTTTGGCTCATTTCAAACCCAGAGAAAGATGTCAGCAGTAATAATGATGTTTACAGATGAAGCACTGGATGGTAATATTTTTAAATACAACAACAAATAATCTACGCCTGTAGTCATCATAAATGAAACAGATTAGGAGAATGTGAAGATGAAGGCACAAAGCTGATAACCACTTGGCTTGAACTGAGATACAGCACTTCTAGACATCGTTGAATTTTAAATGTCCATATTTCATTACTTAAAATAAGACATTTAAGGCAACATATGTTTGTATTTGGTGTTGATGCAAGCTATTATAGAAGTCACAGTTTTGGAACCGAAATCTAATTGTAAGTTGGAGCTCTGCAGTAGAAGTTATTCACCAGCCGAAGTTAAAATTGACCAGTCTCTCAAATATTCTTTTGCCTGTGCTTTCATTTCATTGTTCTTGCCCTCTTACAGATATTCTCTTTTCATATTTCTATTTGTTAGCAAAACATTTCAATAGTAGCAAAATGTTAGAAGTTAAATCTGATACTTTTTCTTCATTCTGTAAAACACATTGACACCATTTGCTCTTTTTGCTCTCTTGAGCATACCAGGTTTTTAAAGTCCCAGATTCTTCTCAGTAGGAATGAAGGATTCTATAAGAAGCAGTTACCAAATAGGAATTTGCTGTAGAAAGCTTGTTGGGAAAAAAAAGTTATACATTGTATAAGATGAATAGAGTTCTTTAGTAATCAAGGCACAATAAGAGATATTAGAGATAGAAATTTGAAATAATGGAAAAACACATATGGATTAAAAACGATTACATCATATTTGGACCAAAGAGAGTTAAAATGAAGAGAACTTTGACATGGTGCATATGAACCATAAGGAGGCTATAGAAGCACATCAGATGTACTTGACAGAGGAAACTGAAGCCTGTGAAGGTTAAATATTCACCTGTCACAGCTAGTTAATGGCAAGTGCTGGGCAAGAATTTCTTCTTTCTCTTAAGAAATGATTTTTTTATTATTTTAAAAGGACTGTATGCTTGTTATTGGTATTTCATTATTCAGTTTCCCCTTTGGCATGTAATTGAGTATGTGTTCTTTCCTAGACTGTGTAATTGTCAAGAGGATATAGTATTTCACTTTGTTTTTATAAACAAATTAAAACTAATACATCCTACATATTATGTGATTACCTGTGGTTTATCTTATGAGAGAGGCCTAAGACTCCTAAATAGCCGTTGGAAGGGTAGTGTTTTTCCAAGGGAATGTTTATGAGTAACTAGAGGATCCACTGACAGCTGTTGAGCCTTTTTTGCAGCCAGGAAGTTCATAATCCTTAAAGAATTTTTCCTTCCTTTGACTTGTACATGGCTATCTGCCAAGTAAAGACAGTTACAAATCCTTTTAAGCAAAGGTTGTAAATATGCTTTAAGAGCATGTGAGCAATGCAGTTGGGAAATTCAAAAGAAAACTGATTCCCTGTGTGGAGACATCACTAAATGTTTTTAGTTAATAATGATTTAATCACTTCCTGTCTGATAGACAAAGAAATTAACAAAATCTCTCCCTCCAAAATGAAAGTGAAAGGGACTCCAAACTTCTCTTTGTCTCACTCAGATAATTTGCATGACCAGCAGACTTTCCATGACTTACTTTTTTCTGGGTTAACTTGAAGGTCTAAGTCTCCCAAATGATGAGCTTTTAGATTTATTCACCTTAACATATTTTTTTGGAATGCATTCTCATGCAATACAACCGAGTGTAGGATGGGTAAACTAATTCACAGACATAGATTAATTCATATAGGTGGCAGCACATGTGAATATTCAATTAGTTTTACTATCTGATTCTTACAGAAGGAAATGAATTAACATTATCACCACTTCAATACTGGACTGGCCGTTTTATATGCAGGTTCTATTCTTTATGTCTGCCAAAAGAAAAGAAAGCCATACGTTCTCTCAGATGTTGGGAAATTAGCTTTAGGGTCATTTCCTGTCACTTTCCTTAATGGTCTTAAACATGTGCATAGCTGTATGGTAATAAAGTATAGACGTTCATAATATTATAATTCAAAATGATCAGTAGCTGATTAGTATCAGATCAATCATGTGAAAAGGATTCTAGAAGACTTTCTATTCCCCAAATTATTTTGCTCATATTCCAACTATATGAAATAAATTCCCCTCATTAAGTCCTCATTCACTCTTCCCTATAAATAACTTGCCCAATAATTTACAAGTCATTCCTTCAAAAACTTTTATTCCCAAGATACTAGACATCTAATTGTATCACTCTTATTGGAAGAGAAGTTGTATTTAGGTATATTTGGAATCAGCCTGAAGTGCACTCAAATCAGACTCCAGTGCTTAGTCCTGTGTGACCCCTCTGAGCCTCGGGTTCCTTATCTGTGAAAAGAAGATAGTATTAATAATACATATTTGTTAATATTAAATGTGATAATATATGAGAACGTGTAGTCCTGACTGGCACATACATGGTAGATATGTATATATTCAGATATATGCCATCATTTCGTGGCCCTGAGAGAAAAATGGCTGCCAGTTTTCCCAATTAGCTGAAAGGTCCCTCTCATGTAGATGCTGTTGACTGAGGAAGAAAATGCTGGAGAAGGAGCATAGCTATAGGTTTGCTTGTGGACAATTTGAGACATGGGAACATTCACGTGGAAGCGTCTAGAAAGTAGATGGACACATGGAGTTACAGCCAAACATAGTGAGCTCAGTGGAGTTCAGAGCTAAGAATGTCAGCCTTTAAGTGTTAGTTGGAGCCTGTGACTTCACACATTGCTCAGCAAATATTTATTAAGCACCTAGTTCGTATTAGAGACTGTCTCAGGTACTGGGAACACAGGGGGCAACAACATGGTGCCACTGCTCTCCTGGAGTTTGTATTCAAAATGGAAAGAAGCAATAAAAATTAAGAGAAGTAAGAAAATCTCAGATGAAGATAGTGTTAGGAAGAAAATAGTGTGAAATTCCAGTATGGGACAAGTACAGACAGAATAGCCAAAGAAGGCATCTCTGAAAGCTGAAAACTGAAAGAAAGAACCACCCACACAAAGATCAAAAGGAATAATAATCTTCACCAATAACAACAACTATCCCTTGCTGGAAAGTACTAGTGTATATTGACTCATGTACTCATTTTTAAGCCACTTTATAGAGGTATGAACATATAAAATCTGTGCATGTTTAATGTGTACAGCTTGATGAGCTTGGAGAGAAGTATACACTTATGAAATCATCACCACAACCTATGCCATAAACATATTTAGTAAAGTTGCAGGATACAAAATCAACATATAAAAATTAGTTGCACTTCTGTACACTAACAAGGAACTGTCTGAAAAGGAAATTAAGAAAACAATTTCATTCACAACAGCATTAAAGATAAAATACTTAGGAATAAGTATAGCCAAGGAGGCAAATAACTTGTACCCTGAAATGCATAAAATAATATTGAAATAAATTAAAGCAGACACAGACAAATGGAAAGACATCTCATGTTCCTGGACTGGAAGAATTAATATTCTTAGAATGTCTGTACTACCCAAAAGTGATCTACAGATTCAATGCAATTCCTATCAAAATCCCAATGGCATATTAACTCATTTAAGCTTTACTACAACAGTATGAGACAGGTATTATAACTATTCCCATTTTACATATGAAAGAACTGAGGCAGAGAAAAGGTCAAGAACTGTTCATAGTGGGTTAATGGAGGAGCTGGTATTCACATTGTGGTAGCCTGGCTCCAGAGCAGATGCTCATCTACAGAAAGGGAAAGTATAGAGTTCAGAGTCCCTTAGGAAAGAAGGAGCTCAATGTACTACGCAAAGAAAAAGGCCAGAGTTGTTGGAATGGTGTTTATAGAAGACAGGGGAGAATTACAGGCCCGATAATTCAGGACCTTGCAAATCATAAGGCTTATGGATTTTATTATAAGTGAAATAAAAGGATATTAGAGGGATTTAAGAAGGAAACAGCATGATTTCTATTTTTATATTTTATTTTATTTTAATTTCTATTTTAAAAATATAACTTTGGCTGCCTTTTGGCGAATACACTGTCAAGTTTGGTAAGGACACAGAGAAAGGTGGTAAGTAAGAGGTGATTGTGTTAATTCAGGTGAGAGCAGATGGTGATTTGGTCAGTTAGTAGAAGGGAAGAGAAGCCAGTGAATATTTTTGAAACATGACAGACATTATTGCTGATTGACTAATTATGGGAATAAGGAAAACAAAGGAGTTGAAAGCAGCTTCTTCATTTTTGAAGTTGAGCTATTAGATAGCTATTTCCTAAAAGGAGGAAAACTGAGGGAGGGAAAGTGTGGTGTGGGGAATTAGGAGGCAAAAATCAGGAGTTTTAGGGCACATTGGGTTTCAGAGACCTCTTAGACATGCATATAAAGATGCTGAGTGGGCCGCTATTGCAATACAGCACTCAGGGAGATACCAGGCCTGGATGAGAGAGTCCCAGGGGAGAGAAAAAGGCCAAAGACAGACTTTCAAAATTTTATTACCAACAAACTAGAGGTCTAATTGTATCGCTTATTTGAGGAGGAATTATATTTCACTATTTCTGGAATCAGCCTGAAGTGAACTCAAATCAAGCTTCACTGCTTAGTACTTGTGAGACGTCTCTGACACTCAGGTTCTTTACCTGTGAAAAGATAATATTAATAATACATACTTCATAGGATTATATGAGATAATATATAAGAACATGTAATATCATGGCTGACACATATGTGAAATATATGTAAATATATATGTATGTATATATAAACTCATAGTGTAAGTATATGCCACATATACACATATGAAACCATATAAATGATGGAATATAGATATGTAAGATAGATATAGGTATAGACAGATCTACGTAGATTTGTTATATATCTCTATTCCATCATTTAACCATTGTAAGTCTCAATTTCATCACCTATAGTAGAGAATATTTATGAAGAAAGGAAAAAATGGAAAAGAAACTCCATACCTTGTGGATGATAGGGTCCGAGTACAAGCACTTGAAACATGATTCAGAGCCATGCACAAGGAAGAATGCTCTGAGAAACATAGTAGGTCTGAATATATTCAAGTGTCCTTCATCAAAAAAAAAAATTCAAATTAAGCCCATTTGTATATTTGACTTTCATATTCTCTATTGTCCCTTTTCCCAAACATCGTAAAATAGTACTTTGATTCTCTGCCATTTTTAAAAAATCTCATTTATTTCTCAACCCATTGAAATCTGATTTGAGGATGATGAGAAATAGTTGAAAGACCAAATCCAGTCCTACCTTCCACTACCTTATAATCTCAACAACACCTGGTGTACTTGGCCATTGCATGTTCCTGAGAGGCTCTTTCTCCTTTGCCTCCATAATACCACACTGCCCTTCCTTCCAATTCTAGGACAGCTCTATCTGGACTAAAGCTAGTTTCCTGTATCTAAATGTGGGGCTACTAAAACCATATGTCTTAGAGCTATGGGGAGGCTTAAGAGAGCTGACCTGTGGCTCTTGGCATTCTGAGCTGGCAGGGAGGATGGGGCTGCAGGAATCCTCAGTGTGCATGGCACCCCTTCATCCCATTTGTCTGGAATCTCCAAGCTCAGAGACTCTCTGGTTCACAAGTGCTGGAGAATAAACCTCTTGGTTCTCATTTGATCTTGCCTTAGCTTAAGGCTTTAACATAATCCCTTCTGCTTTTCATTTTCCAAGGATTTCTCATAATTTCCAATGCACGAAGAGTTGCCTTGCTTATTTTAAAACATGATGGTAATTGTTGGAATGTGGAGCATAAGGAAAGTCCTGACAAAATAAATTAATGTTGTTATTAAACATAAACACAAATTGAAGAAATTTTTGC
This sequence comes from Homo sapiens, assembly GCF_000001405.40. NCBI lineage: Eukaryota > Metazoa > Chordata > Mammalia > Primates > Hominidae > Homo > Homo sapiens. The sequence continues at coordinate 41,526,605 of NC_000012.12, forward strand.
AAAATATTTATAAAATACTTGTTTTTCACTGCTTTTTAAGTTTCACACACCCTACTATCAGACATTTGTCTCAGTTCTTAGTTTTACAACTTTATGCACATAAGTAGTCAAAGATATAAAATTTTGCTGCTTCACAGTCTAATTCTTATGCATACAAACACAGATCATGGTATTCCCATAATATGTAATTAAATACACAGTGTTAAATTTTTTTGATATTTTACTAAATTTTGCTCTTACATCCAAAGATTTTGAAATGACTTCCACTTCTACTGTAATATACTGATGCTTTCCTTTCAGCTATCTGAAAGCCATAGTGACCCAATTAAGTTCAGCAATAAATATTTTTGAGCAATACAGTTTCAGGTTCAATGCTGAACATTGGTAAGCCAAAATAAATAAGGCACTGTCTTCTGTTAGATGTAGATGTGGAAACGGGAAGACATATATAATTACACTACCGTGAGACATTCACAATAATAAAATACAGATGTGGTACAGAGAAGTCAGTGGCTGACTCTTTGGGAAATGGGCAGTGAGGAAATGATACCTGAGCAGAATTTTGACCAGGCAGACATTTAAGGCAAGAGCAAATGGAAAGGTGAAGGCACTGACAAGCACAGGAGGTTCCAGGAAATGCAAATAGGTCAGTCTAACAGGAGAATTATGTTACAAGAAGTGAAGAAAGACATGACTGGACCATGGGCAGGACCATATAAGGAAAAGCCTTTTCATAATGAGAAACTTGGACTTTACGCTACAGGTAATGGGACAGCAATTCCATATTAGAAGAAGTGTGATGGAGGTCAGATTAGCATTCCAGATAGACCCATTTTTGTAGGAATTTGCAGGAACAAAACCCAAAGAAAAGCAATAAATGAGGGGCCAATTTTTATAGACCAGTTGGGATATGAAAATAACTAGAACGTTGAGAATAGAAGAGGATTGAGTCAAATAAGTAAATAAGGGCTTTTTAAAATAAGCACACATTATTTAAGTCAACTGTTATCTTTCCCATGCGTGACAAGTGGTTATGAGCCAAATTTTCTTTATAGCCAACCACTGACCAAAGTCATTTGGGCAAGCTTGACATTCAGCACAATGTGTCCTCCTTGATAAATGTTCTAAGGAGCCAAGACAGTCACCTGTCAAAATTGATAAGTGAGACGACAGTGGGGAATGCAGGCTTATTTGTAACGGCACAGCTGCCAGCATTTGCAGCCTGTTTACCTCTAGACTGATTCTGTCTCACTCTGAGGTTTTTCTATTTCCACCCAAATAGCCCCCAAAACACATTGAGGCTATGCCTACCTATGTGAGATATTCATTCCAGACCAGTCTGCAAGTGCAGGAGGAGGATAAAGAGGCTACTTTCATTAGGCTATTTTCACAACTGAAGAGTTTCAATAGCTTTAAAAGAGACGGCATGAACTTCATCAATTCTCTGTAGCCATTTAGCAAAAAGGGTAGTAAATTCTGTGAAATAGATTACAGTAGTGCCTACTTCTAAAATCCTAAAATGTTCATCACCTCATGCATGGATGGTGTCTGAGGAATAAGGAGCCGTTTTTGGGGGGTTTTTTGTTTGTTTGTTTTTGTTTTTGTTTTTGTTTTTGTTTTTAGGACTTAGTTCTGAACAATAGAGTGGCTGGTATCTTTAAATTAAATACACAGGAAGGCACTTAAACTTCATCTTCTGCTTTTGTGAAAGAAAGAAATGAAAGTCTCAGAGGACCCTCCAGGGCTTATGTGAAGTCTCCACAGTGCACTCTGTACATAAACTTTTTCTTTATTTTCTCTTTACAAATGAGATTGTGGTTATTTATGTATATGAACACATTGCTTGTAAAACCTAGAAAGGAAAGAGCCAAATTCTTAATAGAGCAACAGCAGGACTTAGGTCTGCCCACTGTGTGGTCATCAGCAAAACTTCCATTCATTGTGGAAACTCAAAAATTCTTGAGTTGTTTTTAAAAACATGAGATATTAGACAAACTCTAATTACGGCAGACTCACATCCACTGCTTTTTAGCTCCAGACCATCCTGCCTCGCATTGTTTGTGTTGAGAAAACATATTTTTGAAGATTAAACTGATTTTTCTTATAGAAAGAAAATAACAGTTCTTTGAAACTACAGTTTCCTTTACTTTCCGGCACACAGCAGTAAATTGTAAGGTTTTATTCTTTAACACATAAGTTTTCAAAAAGTGTTATAACCCTGGTAATGTTCTGAAGGTCCTGCCTTTCATCTGCTGCAGACATTTGCCCTATTGACAGTTTAAATCAAAATTTTTATTGCAGTTTTTTAAGTCCTTTTTTTTTGCTACAGCCTTCACATTCTCCTGCTGAGATTATTTCAAGACCTAATAGACTCCATCATTAGAAAACATTTTATAGTACTCAAATTGGCTTTTCCTATGTTGAATTTCATCCACTTTTTCCTCTCCATTGCCCATTACAGAAGTAATTTGCAGAATCTCCGCATTTTAGCCAGGAGCATTCAGAGAAAGTGACTTCCTGGGGTGCTGGATACCAGTGGCATCGCCAAGCTGAAAAGGACTGAGCTTTCTAGGGCTGGTATATATTCAAGAGGAGTGTGCATGCATGTGCACGTGTGTGTGTGTTTGTGTGTGTGTGTGTGAATTTCTGGATTTCCAAGTGTACCAAATTACTGTCTGTATTACACTCATTTCTCATTCCCTTTATAAGCTGAAGGAAACGTGTTTGCACAGTCCTCTTTCCATGGCCATATTGTCCTAGATGAGATATTGAGTTAAATTTGGTTACACCAAATAGTATTAGGAGACCAACTAATTCAAGAGCACTTTAGTGCTACCATAATCATGCAACTTCCTTTTTTTAAAAGATGATATCCCTAATATCTAGCATCAGACACACACATTTATGCATTTATGCAAAAAGTGTTTATTCTTTTACATTTTATAAGGTACTACTAGGATAAAAGATATATGCACCTTCTGGCCACAGTGAATTAATATCTATTATTCATTATAAGTCACAAATAACAGTTGCCCAGTTATCTTAGAAAATGCCAACCTTAGGCAGTTATAAAACTATTTTCCTGACTCTACTCTTCCTATGTTTTTGTGGGAGTTCCTCAAATCACTCCTCAAAATCCTTCCAGAAGATTCTGAGTGTCCTCAGGGTATGTGTCATATGTGATCTCAAACTCTTTTGTTGCTATTCCATGAAATCTGACATTTTCCTTCTCTCTGGCTTCAACTGTGCTGATCATATCCTCTTCTGGACCTAATGTTCTGATGCCCACTCTCTTTCCTTCTCTCCACTTCTGACTGGTTCAGACAGGTTGCCCAGATCACGGTGTAATGCCATGCCATGTTCCAACAATTACCTCAAGGAGAAGAAGCAACCTGTGTCTGTCTTTATGCTTTTGGTGCTATCAAGAGTTGAAATGGGTCTTTCATTCTCACTATTTATCTATTATACTTTTAGAACAACGGCATAAGACTTCCATGGCAGATCTACAATACTCTGAGTGATAAATACTATGCTACAATATCAACTTGCCTTTGAACAAAGATTCAGTGAATGCCGTCTACCCAACGCTCACGTTTAGAAAAGGAGCATGATCATGACATTGCAGTTCTGTGCATGCCTGAACCACTATTTTGAATTTTATGTTTATTATTATCTTGTTTATCTTTATAATTGTGCCACATAAGTTTGTAGCTCTAAATAATGTGTTATTTAACTTTGCATGTTTATATACATGGAAAAATATTGAATACAGTATGGTTCTTCTGAAACCTGTATTTTTTTCCGAAAATTCTGAACAAAGTTCCTAGGTCATCCAAGTTGTAATGTGTAGCTGGAAATCACTCGTGTTCACTGCTATATGGGATTAACATTTTTTAAAATGGTGCAGTTTATGTATTCACTTGGTGGGCGTTTGGGTGTTTTAGTTTTGTAATATTACAATGTGCTGTGAACATTCTTTTATGCATAGACTGGTGCATATTAATAGAGTTCTCTGGGGGAACTCCTGGGCATAGGATATGCAGATCTTTATAATATATTTACTAAGAAGTTAGTGCTTGAGCAATTCTGACTCATACTAATTATGTGGAGGTGCTCCCAGAGCACCACATTCTCACAAACACTGGGTGGGCATGATCGGACTTATGATTTCCCTGACTTTTAATTTTCTCCAGTTGGTTTAAAATCTTCCTTCTGGTGATATCGAATGACGTTGAGGATCCTTTTGAAATGGGAAAAGTTCCCTTGTCCTTCTGGCAGAGAGTGCAATGGGGGTGTGGCTCGCTTCTTCAGTGCCCTGCTGCTCAAACCCCTAGGGTAGCATACAGACCGGCAGGCTGTGGGGCTTCCACCCCACAGCAGTGTCTAGGGGTAGATATTTACAGCTCCTGAAGCCCCAGTGGGCATGTGTTACAGGGTGCTCTATTTTAATTTTGCCATCTATAGGCTGCTTGTGTTAACTAGCTCAATTAGACCCTCTACTTTGTTGCAAGGACAGAGGGCTTTCTGTATCCCGGGTTCTTGCCTTGGTGTACCTGAAGAATCGGATCACACCTGGGCTTGGAGAATGAGTGCAAGGTTTTATTGAGTGGAAGTAGCTCTCAGGAGATGAGGGAGCCAGAAGGGAGATGATTTTCCCTCGGAGTAGGGCCACTCAGCTGCCTGGGCTCTCCTCCAACCGCCCCAGCCAAACTCCACGTCATTCCGCCAGTGGATGGCCTGCCGGAGTTCCAGTGCCTGTCGGTGCTTACAACGTCCTCTCCAAGTCCAGCTGCTTGTGTGTTCCTCCTCCGATGTGTTTCTGTCAACATGCACGTGTTTGTTATCTTCTTCCGCCAATCTGCTCCTCCTGAGGTCCAGCCTCTTGTGTGTCTGCTTGCTAGGGTCTTAGGCTTTTATAGGCCCAGGATGGGGCCATGGCAGGCCAGGGTGGTCTTGGGAAATGCAACATTTGGGCAGGAAAAGAAAAATGCCTGTTCCCACCTAGGTCCGTGGAGGTGGAGCCCTAGCTAGGGACCACCTTCCCTCCCCAGCACTTCCCTTCCCCACTTCCTTATCATTTAAAGGGACCATGCTGTTTTCTACACAGCACTTCCGCATCACTTCAGTATGTTTATTGGCCTGTTCTGTTTTCTTCTTTCTTATAATGCTAATTTCTATATGGACTGTTTTTTGTTTATTTACTTTTTAGCTCTTTATATATTTTAAAATCAACTCTTCATGTGCTGCAAATACAAACACTATTTCCCGGTGTGTGACTTGCTTTTTGCTTAGTATTTGCCATAGTATTTATGATAAACAAAAGTTCCTAATTTTAATGCAGTAAAATATATTAATTTTTTTATGGTTCATGATTCTTCTATCTAGTCTAAAAAAATCTTTCTTTCGCAAAGAAAAAGTAGTTTCTATTTGTATTCTAAATTTTTAAAAACAATTTGGCCTTTTACTTTAATTTTTAACCCACAGAGATTATTTTTTACTGTGGTTAGAATTTGGGGCCTAAATTTATTTTTCTGATATGTACAACATATTTACTCAGTACTACTAATTGAAAGTCCATTTTTCACCTGGTATGTAGTTATAACTCCATCATAAATCAAGTTTCTGTATATGTATGAGTCCGTTTCTGGTCTCTCCAATCTGTCCCATGAGTCATTTTGTCAAACTCTGTGTCATACTACACTGTCTTAAATTGTTATATCTTTATAAGAAGTCTTGGTAGCTGGCTGACTAATCCTGTTACTTTATTCTTACAAATATCTTCATTATTCTTTGTCGTTTGGTAGTTCATATACATTTTTGAATTAACTTTGCATGTCTACAACAATGTTATAGATTTTGAATCTATACATCCACTTAGGAAGAACTGACTCTTTTTGCCATTGATTCTTCCAAATCATGAACATGAGTTCTTCTTTTCTCTAGGTCCTCTTTAATATTTGTCAACAGATTTTATAATTTTCTCCATATGATTACACATATTTTTATTAGCTTAATTCCCAAGTAGTGCATATTTTTCTGCAATATTACATAGTAGGTAAGAGTACAGACTTCGGAAATCCCAGCTCTTCCATTTTTGGATTGTATGACCTTGGAAAAATCACTTAACTTCTTTGTGCCTCAGCGTTCTCATATATAAAAAGGGAATATTTATATACCAAACCCTTAGAATTGTTGTGAGGACTAAATGTATTCTAAATTGCTTGTAACACTGCCTAGTACAAATTAAATGTAATGTTTTTGCTATTATTATGTTGAGGAGAACATTTTTCATGAAAGATTAATTCATGCTTGAAAAATATATATATTTTTTGCATTTATTGGGGATAATGGTCTATAACTATACATTAGATCAACCTGTTAATCATATTGTTCAAATCATCTACATGCTAAAGTGTATTGCCTAATTGATCTATCAATTACCATTATGTTAATAGATTTGTCAAAGTCTACTTCTAATTCTGTCATTTTTTTTTCTACAATTCAGGATCATGAATTGAGGTACATCCAAGTTCAGAAATATTTATTTCTTCCTGGTCAGCTTAACTTTTTCTTTTCTTTTTTTTTTTTGAGATGGAGTCTCGCTCTGTCCCCCAGGCTGGAGGGCAGTGGTACGATCTTGGCTCACTGCAACCTCCCCCTCCCGGATTCAAGCAATTCTCCCGCCTCAGCCTCCTGAGTAGCTGGGATTACAGGCGAGTGCCACCACACCTGGCTACTTTTTGTATTTTTAGTAGAAACAGGGTTTCACCATGTTGGTCAGGCTGGTCTTGAACTCCTGACCTTGTGATCCACCTGTCTCAGCCTCCCAAAGTGCTGGGATTACAGGCGTGAGCCACTGAGCCCAGCCTCAGTTTAACTTTTTAAAAAATTTAGTAACCCTCATTATTTATTGTGATGCTGTTTGTCCAAAAGTATTTTTTATTTGAAAATATAGCTATACCAGCTTCTCTAAGTATTTTGTGGCGTATCTTTTACCAATATTTTACTTTCAACTTTTCTGAATTGTGTTTTAGATGTTTTTCTTCTAACTTCCTGAAGCTTCTAATTACAGGTGTTTCCTACGCATTTTTTGTATAGCTGGATTATTATTGCTTTGCAAGTGGTGGTGGTTCTTGTCCACATTTCCATTTTGTCATTTTCTATCTTTTGTTCTATTTACACTTATAATTATTTACTTATAACTATTTACAAATTTGTATTTAATTACATTACATCATACTATGCCTCTCTTGTTTTGCCTTTTCTGTTTCTTCTTCCCTTTTTAAAAATCTTTTATGTGAATTGATTGACTATTTTTCTCATCCAATTTTTTTTCTCTCTGTTGAATTAGAAGTAATATATACTATTTCTATTCTTTTAGTGCTTATCTTAGAAATTTGAGTTTAACAATTTCAAAATTAATTAATTCTTTTACTTTCCTTAAACAATAAAAGGAGTCAGGAACACTTAAATTGTATCCACTCTCTGGCTGATTCATATGTTACCTTCATAAGCATTTAAATTCCTTCTGGCATTATTTTAACTTTTTAAGCTATTATACTCATTATAAGTTGCTATATACATTCCAGATTTGGTTAGATTTTCTTTGCTTTTCGTTCCTTTTTAAACCACAGACCTTCCATCTGAATTTATCTTCTGAATTTGCACATCTCTTTTTAACTTTTTTTTTTATTTTAAGTTCCGGGGTACAAGTGCAGGATGTACAGGTCTGTTACATAGGTAAAGATGTGTCATGGTGGTTTGCTGCACCTATCAACCCAATACCTAGGTATTAAGCCCAGGATGGATTAGCTATTTTTCCTGATGCTCCCCCTTCCCCCTTCCCCTCACTCCTCACAGGCTCTAGTGTGTGTTGTTCCCCTCCCTGTGTCCATGTGTTTTCATTGTTCAGCTCCCACTTATAAGTGAGAATATGCATTGTTTGTTTTTCTGTTCCTGCATTAGTTTGCTGAGGCTAATGGCTTCCAGCTCCATCCATGTACATCTCCTAAAGTTTCCTTTAGTTACAGTCTGCTATTGGCAAAATACTTAGGTTTTTTGTTTGTCTGAAAATATCTTTACTTTACCCTTGTTCCAAAAAGATCTTTTCCCTAGGTATAGAACTCTAGGTTTGCAGATGTTTTGTCTCAGCACAATAAAGATATCTTTCCACCATGTATTTACTGATCCATAATATAAATACAATACATAGTGAAGAAGGTTATTTCTGCATCTGTGGATTAGCACTTTTCATCAGTTACACAATATTCTGTCTTTATCTCCATATTTCCTAACTACTATCTCCTAGTTTTTATTTCTTTGTGTCTTTGTGTGCATTCTAGATAATTCTGTCTAATCTACCTTCTAGTTCACTAATTTCCAGTTGAGTAATTTCCCTCCTCAGGTATGTCCAACCTGTGGTTAAATGCATCCATTAAATTTTCATTTCAATTGTTACAGTTCTAATGTTTATAAATTCTTCTTTCTTCATGTTAGTTATTTTTATACTAACTCTTTACTTATATTTGCAATCCCTTCTCATATTTCTTCTGTTATGTTAAATCTCTGTATATTTCTAATGGCTTTGCAATTATGCAACTACTTTTTTCTGTTGCTGGATCTCACTCATGATGCGTTGTTTCTTTGTGTATTTTGTGAAATTTGACTGTAAGCTCATTTTAACTTTATCTCTGGGACCCTTTGACCTGGGTTTCTGGTTACAAAGTGTGTTTGTTTCTGCCAGACTTCTGAAGATATTACCCTCTTAGGAGTTTTTTAAGCTTAATTATCAGCTTGAACTATTTTAGACACATTCACAAGTTAGTGTGAATTTGAACTGCAAACTTCTGTGAGGTTTCCATAAGGCCCAGTTTATTATTGGTACATTCTCAAGTGAGACTTTTTTCCTTTTCACTCAGGCCAAAATGTATAATAGGCAACTGTTACTGTTTGAATGTGTCCCCCAAAAAGCATGTGTTGGAAATTTAATCTCCCATACTGCAGTATTGGGAGGTGGACCTGATGAGAGGCTATTGGACCATGAGGGCTGTGTTCTCACAAATGCGTTAATGCTCTTACCATGGGAGTGGGTTTGTTATTACAGCAGTGGGTTCATTAAAAAATGGTGCATTTGGTCCCTTTTTCTCTGTCTCTCTTTTGCCCTCTCTTTGCCCTTCCACCGTGGGATGATGCAACATGAGGTTCTTCACCAGATGCTGGCCCCTCCAGCTTAGACTTCCCAGCCCTCCAGAACCATGAGGCAAATAAACTTCTTTTAATTTGTATTATAAATTACCCAGTCTTGATATTCTGTCCTAGCTGTGTAAATGGACTAAGGCAACACTTTTCTTTACAATCCCTTGGGAGGGGTCCTGTGTGTTTCTTGTTCACTAAGAGTATAGCCGTCGGGTTCCCAGCTTCATTCTCGTGGTCTCCTATTAGACTCTATACCATGGGCTTTGTCTCCTGTCCTTCATGCCCTATGAAACTGTCAACATTGAGGCTGAGGTTCACTTAAATCAGTAAATATGCTCAAGGTTAAAATCTACTTCCTTAATTGCTAAAACAGGAAAGCAACCAAGATGTCTTTCAGTAGGTGAATAGATAAATGCACTAGGTTTACCTCTAGACAATGGAATATCATTCAGTGCTGAAAGAAATAAGCTGTCAAGCCATGAAAAAACATGGAGCAAACATAAATACACATTACTAAGTGAAAGAAGCCAGTCTAAAAAGACTACATACTGTATGATTCCAACTACATGGAAAGGCAAAACTACAGAGAAAATAAAAAGATCAGTGGTTTTCAGAGGATATTGTGGCAGAAGGGATGAAAAAGTGTAGCACAGAGGGTTTTCAGGGCAGTGAAACTGTTCCATATGATACTATAATGGTAGATACATGCCATTATACATTTGTCCAAACCCACAGAATGTACAATACCAAGAGTGAACCCTAATATCAACCATGGACTTTGAGAGATGATGATGTGTTAATGTAGTTTTATCAACTATTACAAATATGCTACTCTGGTGGAGGATGTTGATAATAGAAAAGGCTATGTATGTGTGAAAGAAGGATGGAAAATCTCTGTACTTTCTGCTAAATTTTTCTGTGAACTTAAAACTGCCTGAAAAAAATAACATCTATTGAAAAGTAAAAAAAAAAAACCCTTCTTGATTTTTCTTCTTCTTCAAATTCTTACCTTCACTCATTTGTTTTGTCCTCTTAGTATTTACTGTTATTTTGTCATCTTGTTAGTATGTTTAACAAAAAGAAGCATCATTAGCTGTTTTTAGCAGGCATGTTTTTCATAGTGCCTAGCAATACCTACTGGCAAATATGAAACTTCTATGTTTTTGAGTCATACTCCTTGAATCGTTGTTTCCTGAGTATCAGTATTATTTTCCACAAAAAGACTCTTAAGCCGTCTTTCATATGGGTCCTAGCAGGCCCTTATACTAGTCTTCTAGACATGTCCTGATGTAACTGAATACTGGTCTGAGCATAGTATAGGGCCTTAAGCTGGGATTGTCCCTGTCTTCCATTAAAACACTATAAGCTCAAGTATGATATGTGTTGAGATAGAGATGCAGAGATCTCTGTGTACTCAGAGGGTGGAAAAGCACTTCTGGTGATAAAAGAAGACTGTGGTAAACACGTGGTTTGAAATGTGTGCATTTATGTGGCAAATGGGCAATGAGCACTTCTTACTTGCAAAGTTCTATAATCAACAATGAGATACAAAGCTGAATACATTTGCTCTATCCTTTGGAAACTCATAGTTCACTAAATCTTGAATCATAGGTAGAATTTTAATTAGGATAGTAAACGAAGTGGCATACATTTTTTGTGAGGAGGAAGAGGAATCCCTACAACAGAGTTGGTGGGTGGTTCCTACTTCAGTTTGGCTAGGTCGTCAGATGTGTGAGTGGAATAGTAGCAGATTTGGGGGAAATGTTGTTTGAGATCAGATTACAGAGGGCCTATAGTGTCAATCTGAGGAGTTTGGACTTCAGTAGTGCTGTAAGGATGTAATGATGTGTTTAAGGACTTATATTAAGAAGATTCATCAGGCAGTAATGTACCAGGTGAATTCAAGGAGATAGAACAGTTAGGAAAGAGATTACATCATCCTGAACTGTAGCAGCAACAGAGGGAGTAGAAAGTAAGGGGGAAAAGATAACCCTGAAGAGAAGACCTAAACCTGGATGACTGGCAAAATGATAAGGTCATTAACCAGCTTAGGAAGAAGATCAGATCTGTGAAGAGTCACTAAGACCAACCCGCTCATGTGGAGATCTGGTTCTGATGCCAGCAGAAAGAACTTCAGGCACTAAACTTGGCAGCTGAAAAGCTTGGCTGCACTCCACTGAATCAATCAAATTCCACTGTTTTCTTGATTCTTAATTAATATTTTCCAGTAAACAAGTTGATCAGGTAGGAGAGAAAGAAAAGAGATGAGCAGATTTTATGGTGTATCCATTATTTATTTTATTAAGGATAAATATTTGTATTTTAAAATAATGCTTATTTTTCTAATCTTAAGTAACTATATGGTCACAGCAAAAATGTCTGGAAATACAAAGGTATATTAAAAAAAAAGTAACCATCTTGATAATAACAGCAACTAGAGCTAACTACTATTTCCATCTAGAAATTTTTCTTTGAATACAAGACTTTGAAGAATGAGGTTATGTTTTACAAATTTGTGATCATTTTGCTTTTTATAAAAGTTCTTCAGAGTCATAAAATTCATTGTTTAGATATTTCCTTACTTATTTAAGAAACGTTATATTGTGGACATGGAGGATATTCATGATACTTTGCTATTATAAATTATGCACTAGTGAACAGATGCTGATATACTCGGGTTAATTTCGATGATCCATGTTTTTGCATGTAGCTACTAAACCAGAATGAAGAATAGATAATGCAGTGATTGAAATTAATTTCAAATGGCCAAATGATCAGATTAATCCATTAACAACAAATGGAGAAACATGTCCACTCTTTAAAGGCCCAAGGAAAACGCAATTGATATAATTGTTGGGCAAAAAAATTAAACATTTTTAATAAATAAATACATTAAATAAATTAAACATTAAAATTAGTTTGATGAATAATTTAATCCTATATTCAAAAGTTATAAAATACTACTCGAATTTCTTTAAAATGACACAAATTGTCATCATCATTATACAAACATACAATTATACAGCTATGCACCAGTCACTGGAAGAATTATACTATCTAGAATGAATTATTGATATATATGTGTGACAGTATATACATTCTTATGAAAATTTAACAGTGCACAAAATTCTATACCATCATTTATTTTGCATTTTGTGAAATAGATGATAACACAATGTCACTGTTAAACATTACAGTCCGCTGTTAGCTATAAATCCAGGAGGTACAGGCAACTAGTTATAATCAAACTTAGAAGGTATGTGCACATGCAATTATGCCAATAAGTGATATATGTGTGTATATATATATATTATGCGTAAATATAATATATATATTTTGTGGGAGCTCCTCTAATTCTCCTCCTCCAGAATGGACATATCTCCTCAAAATGACTTTTTCTCTTCTAAGAGTATACATATTTAAAATGCATATCTTCCTGCTTGTTTAAAAAATTCAAATATCCTGAGTTTTTTGGGAAAAAGAGGTTTAAAATGGGAATAAAACACTAAAGTTTAACATCAATATTTTATGATCTTTTGTTATATTTTTTAGTAAATCTATTTCACAGTTTAATTTATTTGATTAGATCAGAAATGTCTGAACATATTTAATTATATTAAAATATTACCTTACCTAACAAGAAAAAGAACAGAGAAAAGCAATTTGGGAACAATTATTATTACATTCATAGGATCTTGACAGCCTTAAGTCTTGTACCTTTTCCTGTTATGATGACCACAGGAAAAACTCCCTCTCCCCAGTATAAAATAGCTTAGAAACATTGCAGGAATAGCCCACTGCCTCATTAGAAAAGCCTCTATTTCCTGCTTCAGTAACCAGCTGATAGAAATGAAGTTCATCTTATCAACAGGGTTATCTATTTTCTATTCTTCTTCTTCTTTGTTAATCTTCCTTTTATGTTTTCTTAATAACACATGCTGGAAAAGTTCCTGAATGCTTTTCAAATAAAGAGAAGTTCTGAGGAGGACTGACAAATCTCTGTTGTGTCAACATAGACACGGGCATCTCCCAGTCTGGAATTCAATGTATAATATCTGAAATAGATACATGTAGACCCTCCTTTTCTCATTCATCAGATCAGGAGATATTCAGGTCTACTAATTGGTTTTAATGCATGTTACTAGAATTTTATTGCCAGTACAGTAAAGATGTAATGCATTTCATGTATCATAATAGACTGGCATTAAAAAATAACTAGGAGAGCTGGCTCTAAAAAGAAGGAATAGAAAAGAAAAAATCTAGAATTTGTGCTATTAAATGAGTTTTTTAATGCTTTGGAATTATGACCAGTGACAAAATGTAGAACCTACCAAATTGGAAATCATACATCAATTCAGGATCAGCCCATTACTTATGATTAATCATTATGTATTTACAACAACATTTTTTGTTATTATACACTGTAGTACTAACCTGAAGATGAGAAACTCCAAGCATTTTTTAATAATTAATCTTGTAAATCAAATTTCTCACTGACCATCAGAACCTAGAAGAAAATACTGTATTTTAGGGGTGTTATAGTACGGCATGGAAGAGATTTAATTCATTATTATGTCATATTCTCAATGAATGTCTGAGCATTGGGTATAAAAATATAATAATATAAAAGGATTTCTTTCTTTGATCTACCTTCAGGAACATATTCATTCTGTGTAATGTTTTCTATGTAAAACCTTTGTCATTTCTATGTAACACAAACAATCTGATCTACCTATGAAGAAAACAGTAGGTTTGCACTATATTTTTTGCAAATAATTGTCATTCCTCATCAGCATATAGGTCCATCATAAAGCATGATAAATGGAATATCATTTGATAAATTTAAATTAACATCTCTATGCAAGTTCAAAAATTAGTTTTTGTTAACATGCCCCAGATTCTTTTCTTTCATTAATTTCTAGCTCAATTTTACAGTAAATATAGCCTCTCTATTAAACTCTGTGTGCTTTGGAGCAGTCTTTCAGCCTTAGCAAACCTAAATAAACTTTCCTACTTGCCTTTTTCTTGGACTGCAGCCCTACAGCCCCAAGGCCCCTTTTCTTCGTTGTTGTTGTTGTTGTTGTTGTTGTTGTCCCTTTTCTTCGTTGTTGTTGTTGTTGTTGTTGTTGTTGTTGTTGTTTCGGAGACGGAGTCTCACTCTGTCACCCAGCCTGGAGTGCAGTGGTGTGATCTTGGCTCACTGCAAGCTCCGCCTCCTGGGTTCACGCCATTCTCCTACCTCAGCCTCCCGAGTAGCTGGGACTACAGGCACCCACCACCATGCCCAGCTAATTTTTTCTTTTTGTATTTTTAGTAGCAACAGGGTTTCACCATGCTAGCCAGGATGGTCTTGATCTCCTGACCTCATAATCCGCCCACCTTGGCCTTCCAACGTGCTGGGAATACGGGTGTGAGCCACCATGCCTAGCCAGCCCTACAACTCTTAATTCTGCCTCCTTTGTCCTTACCCATCTATCCTACCTCTCAAGGGCTAAGCAGTGTCTCAACTCTTGTGCCAAATATTTAACAGGGCTTACAAGATTCCAAAATGTTGGCTGCCAACGACATTGATTCCCACTAGATAAGGCAATGATAACCCTTACCACCATAGTATGTCACCCAAAGTTGATATTTATTACTTCTTCTAGACTTTTTTTTTTTTTTTTTGAGACGGAGTCTTGCTCTGTCGCCCAGGCTGGAGTGGAGTGCAGTGGCTCAATTTCAGCTCACTGCAAGTTCCACCTCCTGGATTCACACCATTCTCCAGCCTCAGCCTCCCGAGTAGCTGGGACTACAGGCACCCACCACCACGCCTGGCTAATTTTTTGTATTTTTAGTAGAGACGGGGTTTCACCGTGTTAGCCAGGATGGTCTTGACCTCCTGACCTCATGATCCGCCTGCCTCGGCCTCCCAAAGTGCTGGGATTACAGGCGTGAGCCACCACGCCCGGCCCTTCTAGACCTATTTTTAAAAATTCCCTTGAAGGCACTCTTGTGGATCATTTTGCGAATGTTTAGACTTTGCTTTTATCCCTGACAATCCTCTTTCTGGCACCCGAAGTAGCTATCTATTATCTGTATCTGCTCTTATATTTAGGCAAAAGGTATTTTGCCTTTCTGAAGTGAATATGTCTTCAAAGTGACTTTTTAAACTATAAAACAGTATCCCAAACAGTAGATGGTATCTCTTTAGCTGACTTCCTTTGCTGAAAACATAGCCAACTCAAGAGCATGATAACAGATGTAACCAAGAAGTACAATCATCGAATCAGAGACAACCACAGCACAAAGGGTCACCCCGTCCTTATGGATTGCTTACTTTGCAGAGTGCACATAGCTAATGTCAAAAGAAGGTTGTTAACACTCTCTTTTGAAGAGCTATTTTCAGTAATTCAAAGGAAAGACAGTTTACAAATGCTGAGAGTGGAGATGCAATCAAGACCGCGGGGCCAGGTGAAAGCAGCACTATAGACATTACAATAGGGATTTGAGCCTCTCCAAGAATGGACAGTACTCTTCTATAAAAGTGAAGTCTGCTCTTTCTTCTTTTTAAATTTGCTATAGACACTAAGGGTTGAAAGAATAGTAAAGATCTTTTCAACTCAAGCCTTGCTTTCCTAAGAATTCTATGCTCTCCATCCTCATTCAGTTGACATCACAACAAACGAAGCTCTCCACCTTGTTCCTGCCTCCACACATTTCATCTGGATAATACGCTTCATTCAGCATCTCTCTCCCATTCAGTGATTCTGCCACCCCCAACACACACGTTTCCATGAACCCCCAGACCTCAGTTCCAGGTCGGAATGACTTGATTGAAGAACAGTATCAGCATGGTAACAATAAAAAAGAGCAACTGAATGAAAGTCAGGAGGCCTGGTTTCTACTCTCAGCTCTGCCACTAAATTGTCAGATGAATGTGGGTAAGTCATTTCAATTTAGAAAAGATAGAAGGCAAGTTAGATTATGTCTAAAATTCCCTCCCAAATAATTCTAGGAAGTAAATCATAATTATGTTTTTTTTTCTAAAAAATCTAATCAATACTAAAGATAAAATAGAAGAAATTTATGCTTTTGCTTGGGTTAAATACCAGAAAATCAAGTTCTTGCTTTCTCTCAATCATCCTAATTTTATAATTGCTTATGTTTTATATAAGATGGAAGCCACAGATTATGCATATTGGCCTCCCTCTCCCTTTTCTGCCCAGGACTTTGGTTATGAGACCTGTTAGAAATCAATCCTAATCCACCTCTCTAGTGTCCTCTCTTAATACATCCCTAAACCCTCTTCATGGTAGCCAACACTGAACTTCTCACCCTCCATGTAAACAGTAGCTTCTCTCTGGAGCATCCCCTCTTGTGGCTCATCTTGCCTCTTGATTCATCCAATCTATCTTTTACTACATATCCCATTGCACTATAGTGAATTCTTTATGTGCTTAAGCCTCCGTCTATAGACAATGATCTCTTAAATGACCATTGGACTATAAGAATGCATCTCTTGAAAAAGCAATCTTCAGAATTAAAAAGTGTGTGTGTGTGTGAGAGAGAGAGAGAGATCTGTGTTCAATTTCTGATTCTGATGAGTAGTTGCTGAGTGACCTTAAATAAATTACTTAATGCTGGCTCTGAATTTCCTCATTTATAACATAAAATTTGTAGATAATACCTACAAAAAGCAATTGGGACTACAGTCCAAGAAACAGAAGACCCAAAACAAATGCTTAAGGGAAAAAGGAGTTTTATTGGCTCTCCTTGCTAAAAATTCCAAAGGTTTATTGTTTTAGATATAACTTGTTGCAGGGGCTCAAATAGTGGCACTAAATTTCAATCTTTCTCCATCTTTGGCTTTTATTCGCTTTTTTGAATCCATTCTCAGGGTCTATATATTGTGGCATGATAAAGCTTTGAGCTACTCCTGATCTACATTTTTGTGGTTCAAATACAATAGAAAAGACAAGTGTTCTTTTCCTAATAGTTTCAACAAAAGTCATGAACCTGATTTTGATGGGCTTGAACTAAATCCTCATTTTTGAAATGATCACTATACCCAGTGAACTAAATAAAATGCACTCATTAGCTAATCCCTAGATCACAAGCCCAGCCCTGGAGCTGGAATCAGCCCTGAACAAACACATGGACTAGAAAGAAAAAGGTGTAATTCTGCAAAATAAATTTTAGGGTCATATTTCCAAAAAAACCATGAATAAATGCTAGATGGACCAGAAATAACTACTGTGCACTGTATTATCCTATCAGATTCTTAACAATTAAATGAAACATTATTCACAAATCATTTAGAGGAATGTTTGGTACATAATAAGTTTCCAAGTGTAATCCATTGCATGTAGCAGGTGCTAGGAAAATGTCCAGTGAGTAAAGTGAATAAGTAAAAACTGAACATGCTAGAGGAATTCTTAGAATGAGTAACTTCATAGATAATTTTGTTTTAATTTTACAGTTCATTTTTTGATTACTTTTCTTGTTGGCAGAGATAAGAGACTGGGTCACATCTATTGTTTGTACAGCTTTCAGAACGTATTCTACTTAATCTAAGACAATTATGCTGCTGTACAAATATAGCAAAAGCAATTACACTCTACACCCAACTTCGCTTTAGCAGTTAACTAATTCAACAAACGCATGTGGGGCTTCTCATAAGCTCTCAGTCCTCTGCTGGTACTATAAATGCAAAGAAAAAGAAGGCAAGGTGCCATCCTCAGAGAAACAAATTTCTTTTTGTTTCATATCTAATGCTGTGGGATATAATAACAGACCTAACAGATAAGGACCTTCTTAGAGAACAATAAACAGGTATTTTAAAACTAAACATCTTAATGAAATACAAATTTTCTAATTAAAAAAAGAAAGAAAAATAAATGCTCATAATTGCCAAGAAGCTACTAAGCATCAGTGAAATTTTGATAGAGGACTTCAGGACCCCTATTTCAGAAAGAGTGATAGACAGTGGTACCATCTGGCAATTAAGCTGAGAGCTGAAAAATGAGAAAGAGCAATATACTATGAAATCAGAGGAAGGTGCTGTTTAGAATTCAGACCAGGTCCCTTAGCTAGAATGTGAATCCCAACTCCACTTTTGACTTGCTGTGTGACTTTGGGCCCAAGTTCTCTCTGTGGCTTCTTTTCTTCATCTATGAAATGGAAATAATGATAACTGTGTTTAAGAACCGATAGGACAATGACACTGCTTGCATTCAAGCCCTTAGCTTCTCTTGCATGAACTGGTAACATTCGCTTAATCCCTCCAACTCACCCACTATGCTAGTGCTGAAGTCATCTTTCTAAACTACAAATATGATAGTTTTATTTCTTTTATAATAGCCCCGTTTACTTTTTGCAAAGAACCCAAATTATTTAATAGGGTGTAGTCATCCTTCCGTGATCTGGCCTTTGCCTACCTCTGCAGTTTTAGTGTTCACCATGACCCCTCACCCAGCCCAATCTTAAACTCTTAGCTTCGCACACATTAACTACGTAAAGTTCCTCTAACATGAAATGCTGTTTCCTACCTCTGTGCCTTTGCATGGTCAATGTTTCTCTGTTTGGAAATTTGGTCTCCTTGGTAAACACCAAGACTAATTTTATGATCTCTTCAAAATTTGCTGGATTCTTCCAGTAGCCCCCAACCTAGAACTGACTACCATGTCCACAAGATTTCCCTCTGCCCCAGCCCATATTGATGATATTAATGTGTGTGTGTGTGTGTGTGTGTGTGTGTGTGTGTGTGTGTGTGACAATGAGAGTGATCTAATGAGGATACTGAAATAAGTAATACAGGATAAGAAGGAATAATTCCATGAGATAAATTCTTGAAAAATAATAAAGGAATGGTTTACAGAGCATGAATGGAGGCACTCAACTTTGGTAGGATTGGGGATTTTTCTTTTGCTGTATAGAAAGGCAGCCCAGAGAGTCTTTCTACGTACAAATGCATGTGGATTGACAAGTGGAGGGAAGACACAGAGGTTTCCATTCCATGGTTTCTTTTTCCTCCATGAAGTCTAGAACAAGATGACCAGCCAAGCATGAAGAGAGAGAAGGGCATGGTAGCAGAACTGCAGACAGAAGAGGTACGAGATACCAGACTGGGAGAGCAGAAAGTTGAGGTCATAATAATCCACTAGGATCCAGTGAACTATCAGATAACGTCATCAACTAAGAGTGGGCGGTTTTTGTTGGAAATTTGAAAAAAGAGGAGGAATTATGGCACTAGTTCCTTTAGCATGTGAAACAGCAACTTGGCAAGGAAAGTAGAGTATAATTGTCGGGCAGCATGGATTGCTCATTTGCAAATTGTGGTAATGAACGTACAGGGAAAGCAGTCACTATGGTCGTCATGGTGTGCATCCCCTCTGGGACCATGTCACTGCTCAGCTGGGGAAGCAGGGAGGTGAATACTTGGTCTTAACCACAATTGACCTTCTTCTGGATGATACAGTGGACAAAGAGAACAGGGTAGTTGAGGATTTCGGAACTCTGCCAATGCTTTTTATCTAGAGTCATGTTGCCATTTTTGTCCCAAGAAAGGCAGGATTAGATTATTGTTTAACAGATTGAGTTGGTGTAGTGTATTCTTGGTTATCAAAATACTCGTATAGCTTTGGGATTTTGAACTGGGAATATTCATGATGTGTGAAAAATCATGATACATACTGTACGATCTCAGTCCCATAAAACTGAATGTTGTGCCTACACATGCACAGGACCTAGAAGAACATGTCAAACTATAAACTGCTTGTGATTGTGAATGACTTTGTTCTTTGCTTCTTGTGTTTTTCAGTTTCCTATAATGCACATATTAACTTTTTAAAAATAAAGGTTATTTTAAAAGCCAAAAAAAAGATACTACATCTAACTGTGAATTTCAAGCTGCATAAGGAGACAGGAGTGAGCCTGAGGGAATTATTGACAGTGAGAAGGGGAAGGGTCAACAGGTTCGAGCTCTAGCGAGAGAACAAAAGTGCTGGAGTGGGAATGCAAGAGCATTTGAGCTGACCAGGAAGTGAAGTGCTTAACATTGCTATTTTTAAAATAAGGCAACTATGAAAATGACATTTTATGAATGTCCTCTTCTACACATTGCTTATAGCATGTTAAACTATTTTGATGGAGATCTCCCAAAAACTGACATGTGAGTCAGGAAATCAAATCACAAATGGCCGTGGATAGTTAGCAATACCTTTAGGAACCTAATAAATGATCATTTTAATATCTGCTAAAAACTCAACATTCAACTATGAAAAACCTTGGATTCTGGATTCTTCCAAAGGTAAACCACATGACACTAACAAATAGCAAAGTAATTGCAATTTCCTCAAAAGATACAACAAGCAAAATAGAGAAGGGGGAAAAAACCTTCCTGATGTAAACAGAAGTGTCTTCCTGGTTTCCTTCTATAGCTTTGTTCTTTGTTTTAGACAGATTGCTTTTGGGTGGAAGCCCATTCTAGGAAAGGTTTCCATGCAGTCTGCCTGGTTCCCTAGTTGTCACAGCAGAAGTAATGACACAAAATTTATGGATCATGGCCAGGCACGGTGGCTTATGCCTCTAATCCCAGCACTTTGGGAGGCCAAGGCTGGCAGATCACTTGAGGTCAGGAGTTTGAGACCAACCTGGCCAACATGGTGAAACCCCATCTCTACTAAAAATACAAAAATTAGCCAGGGGTGGTGGCAGGCACCTGTAATCCCAGCTACTAAGGAGGCTGAGACAGGAGACTCGCTTGAACCTGGGAGTGGAGGTTGCAGTCAGCCGAGATCATATCACTGCATTCCAGCCTGGGCGACAGAGTGAGACTCTGTCTCAAAAAAAGAATTAAAAAATAAAATAAAAACAAAATGTATGAATCACTTCTCACTTACTTCAATTTATGTTTCTCTTTTCTATTCCTGGTCCAGATTTCCTGACATCGACTGTTGTTTGCCAGCATCATGAATTCATTTCCTCCCCCATTAACAGTAGAGGCAAAAATAATGTTTCCTTCTTTGTTAAGGTATAAAATCTACACCAAATAGGTCATTGATGACTTTTTAAGGGGATTCACAGCCCACAGTGAGAAGCAGCCAACCTGGGCCTAGAGAAATGTGACTGCTTTCTTTCCCAAAGAATCCAGAATGTCTCTGATTCTAAGAATGGGAAATTGGAGGTTAAAAGTTGCCCATATTTCAGAAGACCATTGAAAAAGAAGTAGTCAAATAAACAGGCGGGGTTAAGGATGTTAGAGAAAAGACATGATCATAGGCTTTAGCTTTTACCCTTATGTCTCTACAGAAATGTGATTTAATTATTAGTTGCAGCAACTTGTTATGAATAATTTGGAGTTGGAGGGTGCAAACCTGAAATGTTTTGTCAGAGGGATTTGATATTCCAGGAGTTTCGTGATTTATTTTTCACTAAGTATTATCCCCAGATTCCATTATGCAGGAGATAATGATACTGAAGCAATATTTTTATAATAGACTATCTAGCTTTCTCTTAGCTGTGGGGATTAAAGTTTTAATATTTCTCATTTGATTTATTTTTTGAAATAAGTGTTTTATTGGAACAACAAAGCATATTTCACTAGTTGCTAATCAACATTAAAAAATGTAAGATGATATATGATTAACACTCAGATTGAGTAAAAGTGCATGTATTGTCTAATAAATGAAAACCAGGAAAATAAATAAAGATATGGACATAAAAGACCCTACATTCCCCTGTTGTCAACTGATATAAACGGCTAGCGTGTCTAGCCCTAGCTCTTCTTCAAACTTGAATAGTGCTGACTGCATTTGAATTTTCTTACGAAGAGGAAAATCTTTATGGCATGCATGGGCCTAAGGGTTCTTTAAAGTTTGAGAACAATGCTGCTTAAAAAGCCAATGCTTTTTAAGCAGTGTCAACTCTTGTTTCTTTCCCCAGTAAGAGAGAGTTCTATCTAGAAAGCATTTTTTTTCTAAGTTTCTCATTTCTCCCTAGACTCAATCACAAAAAAATATAAAAATTTCACACCGCTGGAGTACAACCAATGTATGTAAAAATCCCATTTGTGTCATTCTATGATTAGAAAGATGTTTCACAGCAAGCTTTAATAACAAACTCTAATCTTCTACTCCACCTTCAACCTATATATAATCAATTTCTCACAATATTAGATGCTGAAGTTTGATTTTTTTTAAAGAGACTTTAGACGCGTCCCCAGAATAGCACGTCTTGAAGTACATTTAAGTCAAAATAAATGTAGTTTCACCAGGTGTGTGAAGTGATTCTTTCACTCTAGTGACAAATGACTTATGGATGGTTAGCGCTGCCATCCATGCAGGCTTGGCATTGATTTGTATACACTCATGAATTGTCTCCATGGAGAAAATGTACAGAGGTAGCATTTCACTTTTATGTGTTTCATCAAACAGCTTCCAAGTGACAGAGGGAAAGGTATGAAAGTTGTTAGGGAAAACATTCTCTATTACCAAGAGGTTGTTTCTTCAGAAGTCAGAGGCTTGTGTGTCCTGTGAAGGGAATACTTAATTAAACCTGTGCTGCAGAATTCCTTTCAGATAATCAAAGTCTTTATAAAGCCACCTTTGCCTCCTACAAACAAAATTGTCTACAGGTAGCTGCTTATGAGTTATTTTGACACAGAATTAAGGGAACTTTGATTCTAAAATGTATGTTTCTGTGTTTTAATATAAACTATGTAGTATCTGAGACAATCTCAACCAAGAAATACAACTTCACACTTGGGACTGGTGTGAGGTGGTTTGCAGGTTCCAGAAAAATCTCACTTGGGTCTCTTATGGTGCCTGAAGGCTTTCTGCCAAGGGTTTAGTCCCTTGCATTAAGGCTTTGTATTTTCAGCCTTTATTAATATGCGCTAAAGCCTGATGGGGTCACATGTTAAGTAATTGTTAATGATGATTCCTTTGAGAGATATTTATGTATCAATTATTTGTATGTCTCAAGAGTTATCTGTGAGAGAATGGAAAATCACACTGAATGCCAGGTTTTGTTAGGGGACAAGCAAAATGGCAAATCTATAATACTCATACCTCAAGGACTCCAAGGAGCTGAAAGGAAATAGGAGGGTGTTGAGTGTCTTACAAAGGGGAATATTGGAAACAAAGACCATGGAGATAACTTTGAGACCTGTTTCACAGTTTTGGTTTGGTCCAAGGTAAGGAAAATATTGAAAAGTTACTTTGACCTGAGGACCTTAGTCTCCTTTCCTCTGAGATACTTGGGTAAGTGCTTTGATTTGTGGTGTCGAAGAATTATAGGCAGATTGTGCCCTTTTTGTTTTAATACATTCACTCAATTTTATTGCCAAAAAGTTGTTCTAAGCAAACACCAAAGTCAAAGTACACCATTGAGAATGTGGAGAAAACGTTCAAAAAAGAATGTCCCCCGCTGAAAATGTCTTCTCACAATACTGAGAGTTGCTTCCGTGCTTTGTTAGGGCATTGAAAGTCGGTGGATTTCAGCTTTGGCTACAGCTCCTCATTTGTATTGATTTAAAGGTCCCAATCTCAGCTCGTTTTGGAGTGTGTAGTTTTCCTTATTGGCCTCTTAGGAATCACTAAGAGATACTCCTCAACTACATACCTTGTTGCTGTAATTGAAGCTGTTTTGTTGCTATAATTCCTTCCTAATGTTGCAGTTTTAGTCAAGTATTCTTTCCCTCTGGAGGCATTAATTATTACCAGTTTTGAAAAGAACTTTGCTTGGTGTGTACATTTTTGCTTCTGGTGCTAAATCATTTCACTGTTTCCTAGTCTACGTCTAGGAAAAAGGATGTTTCACCTTTTCTCTTTACTGTGCAGCCTACACTATAACCTTCTTAAGCACTATAATATAGAGTATCTTTGTCCACCAGTCAGAAAGTCAGCATTCTTCATAGTTTCATGCATTTCACTAATTTGCAGTACCTATCTCAGAATAGAGGATTTAAATTTAGTTTTATTTGCTATTATCTGTGAAATTATTGGTCACTGGAGTTTATGAGAGCAAATCCCCTTGCTAAGGATTTACCCATGATGTACAGCACATCATTTTTAAACAGGTTATTATCCACTGACAAGGACTTCATTCAAATACAAAATTGAAAAGGAGGATATATACTCAAATGTACAGAGTGTTCTGGGAAATATTCTCTTGTTTGAAGTTAAGTAAGTTTTCCTTCATTTTGTACTGGTAACTATTTCAGATTTTAGACAATTAAATGAATACTTTTTGTCTT